>NC_000015.10:89320066-89471581 GCF_000001405.40 Homo sapiens
GGACGATACTCAGCTCCCCTTCCCTGCATTTATAGTCATCAACCACTATATCATTTATCACATACTTAACTTTTAGTTGTTGACGAGAAAGTGAAGTTTCCACAATGAGCCAGCTAATTAAATGTGGACAGTGTACTGTACCTCAGGAAGTTGTACCTCTCTTCCCTCAATGTTTTTGGAACCCTGCAGAGAGTCTGCTAAGGCCCTGAGCACACAGTATGCAGTACGATCAGAGGAAACAAATTGGAGAGCTAGGCTAAGTAACCTGGAGGCCTGGTAATGCTTTCTCCAGTATCAACATCAGCCTACATGCTCCAGTTTGCCACAGCGCCCTCCTGTCAACTCCTGTCTTCCACCCACTCCATTTGCTCTCATTCCCTGTAGGCATCTGAGTTTGCAACCCCTGTATTATTGATTATGCAGCATAATCAGAATTGTCAAGATGCTACCACTTGGTAACAGTATACCAAAAGTATAGCTTTACTCCCATGAGGAAAAACTGTTTAAGGCTGACTATAAAGCAACCAAATGTCACAATAGGACAAATCATCCTGGAACCAGGTTACACAGGTGTGGAAGGAGAGGGGCTAGGTGAGAGTTCAAGTAATGGGCAGGAGATAGAACAGATGGTAGTACTAAAGGACAGTAAAGCAGGCCTCGGGTCCTGGGTGTTAAAGTGGATGGGAGAGGGACCCTCACCAGCGGAGGCCCTTGGTGGCAGCGTACATCTGCTGGGCCTTCTCAGCTGCCTCCTGCTGTGTGAGCCGGTGGTTAAACTGCATTAGTAAGCGCTCAGCAAAGGGCTGCCCAGCACCATAGATGCGGCCGTAGTTGAAGATTTTGGCATGCTCACGGCTGATGCCCACAGTAGTGGCTGTCTTACTGTGTAGATCAGTGCCCCTGCTCTTCCTGCCCTGCAGTGTCATCCACCCAAAGGCTGTGCAGCCTGGAAGACAAGCAGGAGTGAGAAAAGCAGCTCAGGAACATTCTGCCCAATGTTCATCAGAACTGTCAATATGCTGAGGGGCTGGGCTGCCCCAACCCCGGCTCCTGCTCACCATGCATGCCGGCAAAGTGGGCGTCTCCAAGCACAGCTGCAATCCACAGCTCTTGGGAGTCCACATCAGCACCCACAAGGGTGTAGCCAGGTGGGGCCTGCACCATGGCTTTCAACTCACTGCCTACTCGGTCAGGCTGTGGGAAGAGTGAGATACCCAAATGAGACTCTTCCTACCCCATTCCTGGAGCCAGAGTTGACTGAGAAAGAGCTAGAGCCTTTCCTGAGGGGATGGCTTTAGAGAATGCCAGACAGCACTGCTGAAATTCCACAGTTCCAGAGATGGCCACCTATCAGCAATTGGTGTGACAGGTAAAGAATCTACTCTATGCCTAGCGCTATGCCAGACCCCTCACCTACACGGTCCTATCTAAATTCCATGAGAGCTGTAGCTATTACGCCTGTCACGGTCTGGCCAGGAGCAGGTGCCCAGAACATATTTACTGAAGGAGTGGACAGAAATCATGAAGCCAGATTTGACTAGAGTCCTGCCTGACCCAGATCACAGGGTCCTTTTCATGATCCTCACTAAATACCTAAAGGCCCTCAGAGCCCAGTTTCTACAGACCTGGGAGAGGAAGAGCAGGGGCCAGAGGTACAGAGGTCACATACCCGGGCATTGCTGGCGGTGAGCCATGTGGGCTCCACAGCCCGGCGAGTGATGGTGCCGGCAGTCACCACTTGGGGCAGGATGGCCCCATAGAGGCCTTCCTCATCATAGTCGGGGTGCCTGGTGGGGTGCAGGGGAAGGAAATGGGTCTTAGCAGGGTGCTTTGGCCTTAGGACCTACCACCTCACCTCAGTTCTCCTATCCCTACAACCACTCAGCAGACCATACCTGATCACAGCACGGGGCAGAGCTGACCTGGGCAGCCACACCACCATCTGGGAGCTGTGGGGACAGACAACGTGAGGCTCAGCACAGCCATGGGAAGCAGAATCTATCCCACATCCCACCATGGCCCTCACCTGCCCACCTCCAGGACTGCTATACTCCATTACCCAGCCTCACTAACTGGACTCAAGGTGAGCCCTGGCTCAGCCAAGAACTGGGGCCCTATGATACACCAATCAAGAGCATAAACCATCTGGGAACCGGCCAGGCCTCCGAGCGAGCTTCCGCTCCTCTCCGGGGGGCATCCATGAGGCGCTCCTTCCACCAATGCCTCTTCCTACACACAGGCAGACTTCACCATCCCAACACCCACTCTGCTCGCCAGTGTGCTGATGGCCACAACCACCTTGGAAATGGCCTTCAAGATGAATACATTTGCCATTCCAGACTAGAAGACCCAGCTCCCAGCCCCCAACAGGGCTTACAGGCCACCAGCTCTCCATGGTCCTCAGCCATAGCCCACGGCTCCAGCAGTTACACCAAGAAGTTCTGTTGGAGCTACGAAGGGCTCTCATGGTCCTACAGCACCATTCTTTTTACATTAACAGGGAAACTGAAGCTAGAGGGGAGACCTGCCCAAGGTCCATGGCACCAGGACCAAAAGTAGCCAGGCCTCTAGACCATAGTCAGGCTGGCCCTCTGTGGGAATCCAGGGTTAGTCAGGGGTCCCTGGGTGGGAAGAGAGGGGAAAGGCATCCCAGGACTCCTCCCATGGTGGCCCACCTGATACGTTTATGGGCGTTCCTCCAGAAAGAAATCATTTTGTTGATTTCCAGAGCACGGGGCCCACTGGCACCTCCTGGGCCAGCCTGCAGGGTGCCATCCTCCATCTTGGGCAGGAAGTCCTTGGCAAAGGGGCTTCCCACATTACAGCTATTACCATCCTGGACAGAGCAAAGGAAGCAGGGGCTGGAGGCAGGTGGCAGACCCCTGGGTGGGGAACCAACGTGAGTACCTGCACTCCTCCCAACACTGAGCCCAGAACCTCAGCAGTCTGAGGCAAATCCCTGATTGTATCACGCACGCGCGCACGCGCGCACGCACACACACACGTGCACACACATGCCCCCTAAGACACACAGACACAAGCAAACCTGGCTCCCTGCATAATAACAAATCGGAAAAACCTATCACGTACCAGATGTCGTACCAAACATACGACGTGCCCCATGTCATTTAATTCCACCACCATGCCCCTTGCCACCCGACTTTCATTAGAAAAACAAAAGCTGAGAGATGACAGTATGTGCCTGAAATCACACTCTGTCCCACTACTAGTCATTCCCACAAAAAGGAAAGTCTCAGGTGTGTCACTCTGAAGGCCTGCTGTGGGCCTTGAGCAGAATGAGGAAACACCACAGGACAGGCCATGACCCAGGACACACCTTGTGAGGCAGCTTGAAAAACCAGCAGCCAGGGATGTCCACGTCGTTGTAAGGTCCATTGCCATGGTGATAGCTGGGCTGGGTGTCCTTGGGGCCACCACGGGCAGTCTGTGAGGGCCACACACCTATATCAGGCCCTGCTCCAGCACCTGCATTCAGCAAGGGCCATGGGGTAGGGGGTGGGAAAAGGGCCTGAAACTGTCGTCATCAGCTGGGAAATGACAAGATGGCCATGAGGTCTCACCCAGGCTTTCTCCTTGCTCCAACACGTGTGGGGCCTCCCAGGGGCAGGGTGGCATCTCCAACCCCCTTAAGACCTAGGGAACTCTGGCTGGGAAGAACTAGGTGGGCAAGAGGAAGCCCTTTCCACCCAGCACCCACCTAGAGAACCCAAGCCGGCGCACTGCTCACCAGAGCTAGGGGTTGACCTGGCACTGCAGCTCGCAAGTTCTCCATCTTGGCCTCAGCCTCCACTTCTAAGTAATCCAGTTCTTCTACCTGGAGCAGTCCAAGGACCAAAGTAGTGAAGCAGGGGACTGGGTAGGCCCCAATCCACCAGCCCCTCCCTGCATGGTACTCAGACACTGCAGGCCAGTCTGGGGTGAGCCACCAGTGCCAGCCTCCCACCCAAAGGCTGCCCCTTCCCTGGGTGGAATACAGAGACCTCCCCTCCCCAAAGCTCAGGTTCAGAGCCTGCCCTCACCGTTTGCCATATGGCACTATTGTCAGTGAGCAGGAACTCCTCCGCCAGGCCGGCCTCCTGGGGCATCAGCTGCTGCTTCCCCTGTTCGAGACAGTGCTTCCTGTACAGGGACTCGATGGCTCTGGGCAGAGAACAGTAGCAGCAGCAGCCGCTGATTACCAGATGCCCACTCTGGGCCAGGCAGCTTGCTAGTGCCTTCCACAATTCCCTTTGTTTAGTCCTCAGAATCAGCTCTGAGGCAGAACCAGATAGCACTTTCCCGGGTTTTAGACAGGGATTGATTGACAAACTGAAAATGACAGCACCCTGGCAGCAGGCTGGGGTTCAAGGCCTTGTCTCACTCAAATCCAAGTTCCTCTTACACTACAGAGCTGCCGTCTCAAGAGAAGTTCTGAGAGCACAGCAGCGGGAGGACAGGACCCAAGGCCCAGCTGCAGGCTGGCTCCTGTCCGCTCACCTACCCTCGGGCTCAAAGGAGCAAGGCCAGTGTTATCCCCTTTGGTCCCATGGCCCCATAAGAGACTCAGGCTGCCCTGAAGAGCCAGGACTCTTAATTCTGGGCCACTGTAAGTTTCTCCCCAACACCTGCCTGCCTAAAGCTCAGGGTCTGTGATCTTAAGTCAACCAAGCCTTTGTCAACTACAACATGGGGATAACCATTCTAGCTCATGGGACTCCTTGGGGAACAAATAAGGGAAGCACTGCTTGGCCCATAATTATCACTCAAATTATATACACACACTTTTTTAAAAGCCCATCTCCCTGCTACTTGTAACAGCCCTCCGCATGTTCCTGTGAAGGCAGCTATGCTTCTGGGCCCAAGAGTAGGGCCTTTAGTCCTCCCCACTGTGAACATCTCAACATACTCCCTCCCAGAGCTCTGAGATCCAGAGGGTAAGGGTAGCCATGGAAGAAAAAACCTGAACCCAGAGAGTGAGTGAGTGAGTGAGAGAGTGAGTGAGTGAGTGAGTGAGTGAGAGAGTGAGTGAGTGAGAGAGTGAGAGAGAGTGAGTGAGTGAGTGAGAGAGTGAGTGAGAGAGTGAGTGAGTGAGTGAGTGAGTGAGAGAGTGAGAGAGTGAGTGAGTGAGAGAGTGAGTGAGAGAGTGAGTGAGTGAGAGAGTGAGTGAGAGAGTGAGTGAGTGAGAGAGAGAGTGAGTGAGTGAGTGAGAGAGAGAGAAAGAGAGAGAGAGAGGGTGTGTGTGTGTGTGTTAATTTTTTTCCTGTTTTCCCTTCTTCTGAACCCAGACTCTTGAACCCAAACTCTTTCCACTAGCCTGAGCTGACCAGCCAGGGGAAGGGGTCCCTAGGCTCCAGCCCCTTCCTCCCCTGGGCCTAAGCCTTACCTGTAGGGGCAGACCACCCCAGCTGACTCCAGGGTGGTACCTGTCGGCAGCTTGGCCAGGTTGTCCCGCCGCCCAGGCACCAAGTAGCCCCAGCCATGACGCTCTGAGTAGTGCAGAGGGAAGCCATCCCAGGTAAGTGCCA
The DNA here is from genome assembly GCF_000001405.40 of Homo sapiens. Taxonomy (NCBI): domain Eukaryota; kingdom Metazoa; phylum Chordata; class Mammalia; order Primates; family Hominidae; genus Homo; species Homo sapiens. The sequence goes on from NC_000015.10 coordinate 89,325,592, forward strand.
TGAGTTTAGGTGTGACCCGCATCTGCAGGCTGAGGAGGCTGGGGCCCGGGGTCCATGCAGGGTCGTCTAGCCGGGGGCAGAGCTTCCGGTACCATCTACGTCCCAGCAGGAAGACAGCAGTGTCACGATGGTAAGGGCAGTTGTTGGGGGGAAGGTTCTCTCTCTCACAATGTCCCCACCCACCCTCCAAAGCCCTGGGGCTTTCTGGTGACCCCAGCCTACAGCCGCCATCCCCTCCTCTGGGATGCTTTAGCCAGGACCCCCATGGAATCCTCTAGAAGAATATTTCAAAAGCAAAGACACTAAGTCAGTCCCACTGGACTAGTCAGAAGCCAGGACACAAAAGCATACCCTGACCCAGGGCAGGGCTCCTTCCCAAGCTCCATTTCATCCAGGGTAACTGACCAGAGGAGGGAGCAGATCTGCCCTCCCCACCCCTCTAGAGAAACACCAGTCCTTCTGGGTGCTCTCTTGCAGGCTGTTCACCAGAGTTGAGCCCAGGGTGAGACTAGCAAGGCACTCAGGACACTTGCTCTCAGGGTCTTGCAGGTGCAAAGCTGGCACCCTGCTGCTCACCCTGGCTGCCCTTTTTCTCATCTCTGCCACCCTATGAGGCTCAAAGGAAGGGGCACCTTCTCAAGGAAGCCTTCTTGATTTATTTCCCGAGGCAGAGTCAGAACTCTACCTATGGACACTAGCTGCACTGGCTGGTCTACGTGCCTGGCTCCTCCTAGGAAAAAGAACTACTGGAAAGGAGGAGCTATGCTCCAGTGTGTACACCCGGTGGCTGCCACGGGCCATTGCACAGCAGGTGCTCACAACACTGTGCTGAATGAGTCCAGTGAGCCGGTCCAGAGTGAGCAAATGAGAATAGGACTGGAAGACAGTGTGACTGAATGGCAGCAGGTCAATAAGTATACATGTGCATGATGCCTCTGTGCCAGAACCCAGACCAGGGCTGTCCTGAGAATGGAGCAAGGGTAGACTCTAGATACACTGCTGGGGGTGGGCAGGGCTCACCCAGGGTGTCCAGGAAGGTGCTGGGGCCGCTTGGGCAGGAGCTCTGTGGTCCCCTTCAGCTTCTGCAAGCAGGCGCGGGCCATGACATCTTGTTGAAACTCCTCCTCCTCACTGCAGGGGCCGAGGTCTGTGAGGGTGGGGGAAGACAATCAGGAGCAGGAGAAGGAACTCTCAATAAGATCTGCTCCCACCCGCTCATCTCCAGAAGGCTGGAGCAATCCTTTCGAAGGACCCCCTCAATCACAGGACCTTCCCAGAGACAACCCCTACCCTACCCTACCTCCCACCCATGCTCCCCACCTTCCTGATCCATGGGATCACCAGGGGCCCCAGCCCCCTCGATGGGCAACTTGCTGGCTGTGGCTGGTTCCTTCTTCACCTTCTTAGCTTTCTTCTGCTTAAATTCTTGCAGGTCCCACTCCAGGTCCCAGAGCCAGGGGTCTTCTTTGTACCTACAGAGCCAGTCCACTAGGGCAGGGCTAAGGCTAAGCCGAAGGCTAGGCCGCCCACCTGCCAGTCCCCTGCCTAGATCCTGCCCACCCAAGGCCTGGCTACCTCTCTCCTGAGAGCAGCTGGCAGGCATCATTGGCCAGATCCATCAACGACTTCTTCATCTCCCGCTGGAGCTCCTCATAAGTGCCCTGTGCCTCTGCCAGGTAACGCTCCCAGTTCTGGTTGACAGGCAGGTAGGAGACACCCATCTCCAGCATGCCGGCCAGAGTCACTGGGTGGGGACACCTTGGAGGCAAACACCAGGAGCTGCCATAAATGACCACAGGAGGCAAGACTGGCCCAATCCCTGAGCTGGTTTAGCAAGCCTCAACCCAGCCACTGACATGGCACAGCTCAAAAGTCAGACGGCATTAAATCCCAGCTCTACTGTTACTCATCCCTGGGTAAGCAACCCCATCTCTCGGAGCCTCAGTTCTTTCATCTATAAAATGGGAACAATATCATCCCATCCTCAGGGGTAATGTGGGAAATATAGATGGCAAAAGTGAAAATGGCTGCCACACGTGGAGTAATGACTCTGTGCCAGGCACTGTGCTAATAATCCCATACATGAAAAACATCATGCCTGAACCTCACAACTTGGGTGGTAAAATACAGCTGACATTTAAACAACACATGTCTGGATCGTGCAAGTTCACTTACACATTTATTTTCTTCAGCCTTAGCCACCCGAGACAGCAAGCCCAACCCCCGCCCTCAGCCTACTCAACGTGAAGGATAGATATCTTTATGATGATCCACTTCCACCTAATGAATAGTAAACATATTTTCTCCTCATGATTTTCTTAATACATTTTCTTTTATCTAGCTTACTTTAAGAATACAGTATATAATACGTATAACATAAAAAATATGTATTATGTTATCAGTAAAGCTTCTAGCCAACAGCAAGCTATTAGTAGTTAAGCTCTGAGGGAGTCAAAAGTTACACCCAAATTTTCCTCCCTTCTTTTTTCTTTCCATATCTTTGGTACAAATATACCTGAATTTTCAGCATACAAGGGTCACTTCATAAGACAGACTCATTAATAAACATAACCACGCTGTATGTGAAGCCCTTGGCTAAGGATCTAGTTAGAGAAGGTGCACAGTAAACCAGGACCGTGCACATGACACACAAGCACAACTCCATGGCCCTCCCCTTCAGGGCCTCTGTCAAATCCAGAGTCCAGGGCCCAGATGGACACCACTGAACAGAAGGGCTCCATTCTTTCAGCCTAGAAAAGCTAAGGTCCCCAACCTGAGATAGAACCAGCGCCACCTGATTACAGTGGGCCCGGGTACCAGGAACACACTGACCCCCAGAGATTCCCACATGGGCTCCCCCTCACCTCTCCAAGAAGAGCGGTAGCTGCTGCTGGAAAACCTCATGGGTGGCCCACACGTCCTGGGCACAGTACTGCATCAGGTCCTGGCACAAGGTGACAGGAAGGCGCAAGGTGGGCAGCCATCCCATTACCACCACCAGCTCTCAGGGTCAGGCCTGGCAGCTGCATCTCCCCAAGTGCAGCTAGGGGTGTGCCACAGCCCATGTCCCCAGAGCCCCCTCCAGCACCATACCTGGAAGTTCTCACGAATGTCCTTCATGGTGCCCTTCACAAACAGTTCTCGAGGCTCCTTCTCTAAGGGAGGCCCCCCTACATAAAGTCTGTGCACCTCTGCCAGACTGTTGACACTGCTGATGTCCAGCCAGTCCCAGGATGAGATCTGGGGAACCAGAGCAAGGGACATGGCAGATCAGCCTGGCCTCGGGCCAGACGGGCTGGTGAGAGGGGGTCCCAAGCACTATGCTCCTGCCCACCGGCAGTGTGCTCTCACCGCTGGGCCTCTTCTGGCTTTCCTCTGGGACTTCTGGCCTTGCTTTGTGGGGGGCTGGACCTTGTGTTTGCCCTGCTTGGCTGCTATCCACAGACTGCGCTGGAAGCTGCTTAGCCCTGAGATGGCCATGTGCATGCTCATGGTGTCCAGGAAACGCATGCGGGAACCCTGAGGAGGAGGAGGAGAAAAGGGAAGGGAAGGAGGGAGGCTGCAACTGTGGGGCCAGCCCACCACTGCTTGGTGGTGTGGACCTCCAGCCCCACCTCAGCTCCTCAAACAGCCTCCCCTCCCAGCACACAGCCTTCAACACCAAATACAGAATCCTCATGCTTGTTCATGCTTGCCCCATCACCTGTAAGGGGCCTGCCTTCCCAAATCCTAGCCACCCTTTAAGATGCAGGCCTGGCTCAATCCCAATGTGCAAGTCCTTCTCAGCTTCCAACAATAGCTCTGAGCAACGTAGATACAGAGTGGCCAAAATAAAGCCTTCAGGGCTATCTGGTCTGGCCCCAACCCTGCCACTCAAAAGCTCTGTGGCCCTGAGCATGTCAACAAGGCTGTCTGAGCCTCAGCACCCTCAGCTATAGGGTAAGGTTGCTCTCCCCTGCCTGGCCTATCTTCTAGGGCTGTTGTGAAGATCCAGTGAAAAAACACTTTTCATAAAATTAAGAATTGCCACTACTATACACCAGGCAGAGTGCTGAGTGTTTGACATGCAGGCATTGTTCCAACCCTCCTATTAATCCTATGAGATTTCTGTTATGTCTGCCTTTTTATAAAAAAGGAAACTAAGACTTAGAGATGTTAAGGCGCTCACAGTAGTCATCGGTGGTTAAGGCAGGAAGTGAGCCCAGGCTGTGGCTCAAAACCTTCAAGACCCATGCTAAGCTCTAAAATGCCACAGAGACGAAGGCCATTATTACTTTGTGACAACTTAGGTCCTATACCAGGCTTTCCCGGGGACATACAACAGCTAGGCACAGAGACCAGAGGCACAGCTGGTCAACAGATGCGCCTTGCGGCTTCAGCAAAGGCAACAGAGACACGTGCCAGGAAAGGAGTACCTCCCCTAACCACTGAGATTAGGGCTCCTGGCCCATCCCATGCCAGAACCTGCAGTTGGCCCCAGGAACCTTACCTGGATCAGGTACTGCTCCCTGATATGAGCTCGGTCAAAGGAAACATTGTGCCCCACCACTAACTGCTCCTGCCAGTCTCTCTGGGTGGGGCTGCTGGCACCAGTAGGGACCTCCAGGGGGATGAGGTCAGCCGGCGACAGCTGGCTGGTCCAAGAGTAACGCTCTTCCACCAGCCGCTGGCTGCACCAGGAATACCTGAGGGAGGTGAGAGGCAGGCAGGTTCACCATGGAGACATTAAACTTCCACTCCACAACAACCACTGCACACCTACCGCCACATGCCAGATGGTGCATTGGCAGCTGGGGACACAAGTGAGACCAAAGGGTGCTCCTAACTCAAACAGCTACAGGTCAGGTGTGGCAGGGTGGGTGTGTGTGCTGGCGGGCAAGAGCTACAAAAGCTTCTTTAAACTTCTGCACATAAAAATGGAACTACTGGGCTATTAGACCTACGTGCAGGTATTCTATTACAGCCTGGGCTATCAAGGTGTTTGCTAGGCCCAGCGTTCACTGAGTCTGCATCTAGCTCTGAGGTTTTATGAACATTATCAACCCCTCACGTCTACAGGCACAAACCAGCTACTGTTCAAAGTACTAGTAAAGGAGATAGACAATAACAGAACCCAAGGTGGAGATTTAATTGAATTGGCAAAAAAAAAAAAAATGACAAATGCTGCTGCACACATGTACAGGATGAATCATCTCACGGCTGAAAAGATTCTGGGGGACAAAGAGCAAATCACACACCTTGGAGAAGCAACCACCCTCAGTGAGAACCAGGGAAAGTGCCAGAATGAGAAAATGTATGTGTATGTGACAGGGTTGGGGTGGGAGGGATAGGGGATGAGTGCTGCCTGTTGGGGGCCCGACACTGATTCAGGAAAAGGCTGCAGTTTGCTCAAGATCCACAAGGCTAGGTGTAGGGGAATGGCCACTGAGGAAATGCCTGTTGCAAGCCACAGATTATTCTAAACAATCAAGGCCCACTCAGCATCAAAGTGAGTGACGAGGCCACGTGTGGACAACACAGCTGCGAAGGAGCTCCTTGCAACCTTTATGGAAGGGAAAAAGGGAGTATCTGCCTCAACAGATTCAACACACATAAAACTAACTTCTTTCAAAGAGAAAGCAAAAAGAGGTTCCTAGTTTTAAACCTGACAAAATCGAACTCATACTCCAAATGGTGAAAATAAGCCAAGGGACTGAAAGAAATCCCCACCCCCCCACATTTTAATTCAGCATGTCAAAGCCCTTAAAACAACGCAGACAAAAAGGCTAAAGAATGCCAAATCTTTGAGGCCATGGTGGTAACAGGAACTTTGGTTACAGTAAAAAGCCACACTGGTGTCAAGATGCAGCTCTGCAGCTGTGCATGAAGCCATATTATAAACTAGTGATTAAAAAGAAACAAGCCAAATTTAAGATGAGTAGGGATCCATGCCATTAATACTAGTTTTACTGTGAATCTTAGAAAAATGCTGATGGCCAGAGAGACGTCCCTCTAGCCTGATGGCCGAAGCCCTTACCAACACCCTTTGGGAAGAAGCTGCCCTGTGGGAGGCTCATAGCTGACTACCGCTTCTCCTCCCATTGTAAATTGTGGGCTGGTCAGGTACCTAATGTTACTCAGCTAAGGGGCAGGGGCATGCCCAGGTTCAAAGTGGACCGCTATTAGGGCACCATGTGGCACCCACCCCCACCCACCAGTCAGACTCCCAGGAGGAAGGTCCCAGCATGAGCCCAGGCCTTAACAGTGACTTCTGCCATCAGGTCAACTAAGCAATGCCCCGAGTACCACTGGCAAGAATGGAATGAGAATGAGGGCAGAGCAGGGAAGGACAGGGAGGGAAAGGAGAGGTAAAAAGAGAGAAAGAAGGAGAAAGAGAAAAGAAAAGGGGACTTGAGGTAATTTGGCCTAAAATGACCGACAGATCAAAAAACAAATCTTTCTTGTCACTGGTTTCCTAATTTTCTTTCAGCCACCAAAGCCTACTTTATCTTTTCAAATGATGGCCGATATTCCCCTTTACTTTGACCATCAAGTTACATATTCTAAGTAGTGTGATTCTCATTGTAACTGGAACTCAATCAATGCAGAATCATCTAGTTTTGCTCTTTTCAGCCATTAATGCCTACCTTATCTATTTAGCCATGTTTTCACCATTTTCAACTGCATATTTAACATTTCGCAGCTTTCTTTACAAAGATGTAGCTTCCAATAGGAATAAAGAAACTGCCAACTTTTTTGCTGGCCATGCCTGAAAGCATTAAGGTTGTAAATAGTATTTTAATCCTGGAATGAAGAATAAAAAAAGGGGAGAAACAGTACTGCCATCATTGTTTGAAAAAGAAACTTGGGTAGCACTTAGAAAGTTATTTAAAAAGAAAAGAGAGATTGGATATACTTGTTTGGGACCAAAATGCCTGCTTGGAAGGCTGGGGGAAGGAAGCAATGTTTCTCAACTAGGGGTGGTCAACCAGATGCCACCTCAAGGGGGCGTCTGGAAACGTTGCCGGCGGGGGCAGGGGGGCGGGGGGGTGTTGGTCTGGCGTTTATGGGAAAGGCTGGGGATGCTAAATGTCCTATACTGCCTGGGACAGTCCCACAAAAGGGAGCTTTCTACCGCCCAAAATAATTAATAGCTCCCCAAATAGAAACACTGTTCAAATGACTTTTCAGACTAACTTCTCATGACGCTATTAGGAGAGGGGGTAAAGGCACCAAATCACCGTGATCTTAAGTGGCCTCCCGAAGGTCTCATGTACAGCGCTCTACTGTGATTCTCTGCGTGGCCTTTACTGCCTGACATTTACTTGGGTATTTGCTTACTGCCTGTGATCTTCCCACCAGAAAGTGAGTCCCACATAAACAGGGGTCTAGTCCTAATTCAACACATCAGCGCTCCCTACGTGAGCACCCAGCCCGTAACAGGACCTCAGAAAATGTTCACTGAAACAAACTATTAAGCTGGGCCCCCATGCCTGCTTATGTCCCCAACCCTGCCCCTACTTACCAGGCCGAGGGGGATATGGCCACCGCCAATGTGGGGCAAGTTCCCTCTGCCAAGCAGACCTCCACGTCGAACACCAGGGCCCGCTCCTCGGGGATGGCCACGGGTACGGCCTCCCCCTCGGGGCCGTACCGGGTCCAGCCCTCCGCCCAGGCCCAAGCCGGGGGCTTCGGGGGCAGCTGGGCCTGCAACAGCAAGTTGGCCGCCTCCAGGTAGGGCAGGCTCTGCTTCTGGGCCAGGAGGCGGAAGTGCTGGTCCAGGTTGTCCCCGTAGAGGGGCGGCAGGCGCAGCTCCACGTCGGGCAAGGGCACGGCTGGCTGCCCCCAGAGCCCGTGCTTCTGCAGGTGCTCGACGCTGCGGCGCACCGCGGCCTCGCCAGGCATCTCCCCTCCTTGCCCGAAGATTTGCTCGTGCAGCCCTCTCGAGAGCATCTGGATGTCCAATGGGTTGTGCCGCAGCTGCCCGCCCTCCGAGGATAGCACTTGCGGCTGCTGAGGCTGCTGTTGCTGCTGCTGCTGCTGCTGCTGCTGCTGCTGCCGCCGCCGCTGCCCGTCGCTGGGGTCGGACGCGGGGACGGAGCTGGAGACCCAGCGCCCCGGAGCTGGAACCGGCCCTGGCCCGACGGTGGCGCCGGCCACCTTCCTCCAGAGCAGGCGGCTCATGGTTGGTGCAGGGACCCCCACGCTGGGAGTCAGAACACCTGGCTTTGGGCTCCAGCTTGGCTTCTTTTACTGGCTGGAAGACGTGGAGAGAGACACGTCCTGTCTCTGCTCTCCTGTCAGTGAAATGGGTTTGACCATGCCTGCCTTCCACCCCAAATCCTAAAGGAGACAGATGATATAAAGCGTTATTTTACCATATATGTAATAGGTGTATCCATAATCATCATTCCTTGAGCATTTACTGCGTCCCCAACACTGTGCCAGGCGCTTCAGTTGCATTTTCCGTTAAGCCTCAAAACTTGGGAAACGTCAATACCCCTCCTGGGGGAACCGGGGTCCACGCAACTTCGTCAGTGAACCCACGTGGGGAAGCCGAGGGCAGCGAGTAAGAGAGCAGTATCTGGAGTAGGGCGACGCGGTTTTGAACCCCGCTTCTGGCTCTCTCGAGCTGTGTGACCTTGGGCAAAGCTCCTTAGGCCCTGATATCCTATTCTGTAAAATGGGATTACGGATTCTGCCTGTCACACCGGGCTGCTGTCTGGGGGACACAGGGCGCCTATGTCGTGCGGCCCTGCTCTTGGCAAGCGCTCGGCAAATGGTGGCTGCCATTACCGCGACCGGCGCGGGCCTAGCGTCGAGAGGTGCCAGCGCCCGGATTCGAACCCGCAGGGTGGGCCGCCGTCCCCCGGGACCCACACCCACACCCGGACCACGGCCCACCCGGCCGAGAGCGTCCTGCAGGAGGAGTCGGCGGCCACCCCCGTGCGCCCCGCCGCCCGCCTGCGCCCGGCAGAGGCGCCGCGGTGCGCCCTGGGACTAGCCGCCGCCCTGCTCCGGGCCTCGCTCCCTGACTGGAGAGGGAGGGGCCGCGCCGTCGCTCAGCGACCCGGCCTCCCCGCCGCCGACCCCGCCGGAAACCTCGGTCCTCACGGTGCTTCCCGGTCTGCTGCTCCCCCGACCCCAGGCCCACGGCACGGCGTCCCCCTTCGCGCGGCCTACGCAGCCTCGGGGTAGCGTGTGGCCTCCACCCGGCCGGTCCGCTTCGCTGGCAGCCGCAACTTCCCGTCTGCACCCAGCTAGGTCCCGCGGCTACCCGAGAGGCAAGCGGGAGACTCCCAGCGCGACCAATAGGAGGGCCGCCAATGGAGCGGTCCGCCCGCGGGGGGAGAAGGGGGACTTCTGGGTGGGCTCTCCCTGCGGAACGCGCGAACCAAAGGCCAACCTCCCCTTCTCAAGGAGCAGGTGGATTGGTCCCGAGCTAGCTGGTGGGCGGAGGTGACGTTTTTATAAGTTGCTCAAGAGACGGTAACAACCGACGGGCCGCGTGGCCTAATGGATAAGGCGTCTGACTTCGGATCAGAAGATTGCAGGTTCGAGTCCTGCCGCGGTCGAAGGGAGGTTATGATTAACTTTTAGTTTATTCCTCCCTCAGGAACGAAGTATTGGGACAATGTGAACGTAGTCGCCGCCGATTCCCACCGCACTTCAAAGATGTGGGAACGCCAAGATCCGCGGAAGTAACCACGCCCAGCAAGTCCCTGCGAGATTGCCCGCCTACGTGTCTCAGCGGAGGCACATTTCTAAAATGTACCAGGTCTCTCGCACCCCGACGCAGGTGGAGGAAAGTGGAGAGGGAGGGGCATCCTGTACAGAAATCTCAATTTATACTCAATTGATGGTTGGCAAGAGTTGGGGCTCGCAGCCAAAGCGAGGCTCCCTCCCTCGCCCATCCGGTGCTGCCTCCTCGTCCAGAGCAATTCTGAGGGGTAAAAATGTTGCCTTCCGTTGAACCTGAATTTGCCCGCAGATGCTAGCCTCCGGCCCACAGCGCGGCTGGAGCTTGTCCCCTTCCCCAGCTGTTTCCAGTCTCCGCATCCGTCTTGTGTTGCTCCAGGTGCTTCAACAGCTCTCAGCGCTCGGTGGTTGGTGAACTGTGGTAAAGTGCACGCAGAATAAGGTCTACGTGATTAAGCACCGCCTGGGGGTTGGGGTCTGGAGGCCCAGCTGCACAGATGAAAGGGAGGCTCAGAGACGTTTGGGACCAACCGAGATCACACAGCTGATTAGGAATAAAATTCAGGTCAAGCTGAAAGTCGGCCGCCACCGTCCAGCGTGGATCCCAGGACACCGTGAACGGACTACAGAAGTTGACTTTCGCGTTTTTAAGGAGTGGGGTGCAGGGAAACAATCCTCCGCCGGCCCTGCGGGCTGATGCCGACCCTCACCTGCTCCCGCCACGTGGAGAGGTAGAGAGAAGCCCCGGGCCAAGCAGCATTGAGCCCTGGTCCCTTCTATTTAAATATGAAATATTTTGCATACACTTTTCTAGATGTACTTAATATACACAATGTTTTAATGTTTGTGATTTTTTTGTTTTGCCAAAAAAATACAATCAATCAGAAATTCATCTGTTTTTTTTTTTTTTTTCACATAACTGTTGACTTTTACAAAATACTGGAAGGAGAGGCTCTCAGCTTAAATCAGGGAGTCCCTGAATGGGGAAAACATTTTCATCTTGTTTCTTCTAACCGCCTACTGATACTTGGCATTTCCTCCAATTATGAGCATAGGCTGTCAGCCACAGTGGTATTAACAGTGCCTGTGACTTTGTCCCCTCCAGCAACCACAGATATTTTCATAACGCATTACAAGTGCTGCACATTTTTCAAAATTTGTTTGCACTTATCTGTACTTCAAAATAACAGGGGTTACTAGACTGCCACTAGATCCTGTTAGTTAATAAGTTTACCTATTTGTCCTAATATTTGAATACCTTTGGTGTCCTTTGTAATCCTTCATGTTTTATGTGCTTAAAAACACTATTCTTCCATATAACCAAAAACTGCCTGTACCCCTATTGAAATAAAAATTAATAAAACATATTTCACAGAAAAAAATTAAAAACAGAAACACTACTCTAGGCCAGGTTCAGTGGCTCACGCCTGTAATCCCAGCACTTTGGGAGGCTGAGGTGGATGGATTGCCTGAGCTCAGGAGTTGAAGACCAGTCTGGCCAACATGGCGAAACCCCATCTCTACCAAAAAAATACAAAACTTAGCCCGGCATGGTGGTGCACGCCTGTAATCCCAGCTACTTGGGAGGTTGAGGGAGGAGAACCTCTTGAACCCGGGGGGCAGAGTCTGCAGTGAGCCGAGATTGCACCATGGCACTCCAGTCTGGGCAGCAGAGTGAGACTCCATCTCCCCACTCCCCACCAAAACAACAACAACAACAAAAAAAAGAAAAAAAAGAAAGAAAGAAACACACTATTCTAAGAAGGTGTCTATGACACAAAAAAGCTAAGAACCCCTGGCCCAACTGTCCACAGGGGCTGCTGTTGCTGGGCCTGATTGGCCTCTCCTGAGATTCAGTCTCAGGAGATGTCCATCAAGATGCCTGCTCCTCCCATAGACTACTTGAGACTAGCCTAGTGCCCTGGTCCTGGAATTAGAATCTTCAACAAGGACAAAAACGGTTGATACTGATTCCTGCTGAGGGAGGGTACCTGGAGGCCTGCACCCTTCCTGCCAGGCTACACCCTGTTTCCAGGCCTTTCTGAACCCAGCTCCTCCACTTCCCCTGCCTCCTTTTCTAGGAACTCCCCCACGTCCTTCTAGAAAAGTCTGTCCTTGATAGTGGTTCCTGAGAAACAGTTACATTTTCCCACAATTCCCTGGACCTCTCCCCCCACAGAGCAAGAGGCAAAGTTCATTAGGACCCCTGTCCTCATCAAAACACTCCGTACTTTTTTTCTTCTTCTTCTTCTGAGACAGAGTCTTGCTCTGTGCCCAGGCTGGAGTGCAGAGGCGTGATCTCAGCTCACTGCAGCCTCCACCTCCCAGGTTCAAGCGATTCTCGTGCCTCAGCCTCCGGAGTAGCTGGGATTACAGGTGTGTGCCACCATGTGGATCTAATTTTTGTATTTTTAGTAGAGACTGGTTTCACCATGTTGGCCAGGCTGGTCTGGAACTCCTGGCCTCAAGTGATCCACCCGCCTTGGCCTCCCAGAGTTCTGGGATTACAGGCTTGAGTCACTGCGCTGGGCCAGAACACCCTGTACTTTCAAAGCATGTACCTCAGTTGTAACTAATGATGATTTTTTAAAAATCTCCCCCTTCCACTGCTGTAAATGCCCATAGGGACTGACCTTGTGTCTTATTTTGAGCTCAATTCCAGGACCTGCCTGGAGCTTGGTAATAACCGGCACTTGCTAGCTGCCAGGTGCTGTTCTAAGGGCTCACATATGTCACTTAAGTGAATCCTCACATCGACCCTTGGATAGAGGTACCGTTATCCCCTTTCACCCATGAGGAAACTAAGGCACAGAGAGGCGAAGCAGCTTGCCTAAAGCCCTATAGCTGGTCATTGGTAGAGCTGGGATTTGAATTCATGGAAACCAGGATCTCAGCAACTGCACTACACGGCAAATACTGGCTTTATGATGCTAGCAGAGGATCCCTACTGCACAACTGTGTGCCAGGCGCTGCACGTGCACACTGATGTGGCCTCCTACATCACTGCTGCTGACTAAGTAAGGGGCCCTCAGGTGACAGCCTGCTCCTCCAGAGTCCCTCTCGTGTGCTTACTTCCTGGTGACTTTCATGGTCTTCTCTCAGGTTTGCCAAGCCCAACTCCAGCAATTTCTGCCACAGACAGAAAATATCACCACTCTTCCTTTATCAACAGCTACCACTTGCAAATGAACCAGGCTGAACGCTTTAGAGCACCATTTTATTTAATCATTTCAATGACCCCATAAAGTAGGTGCTGTTATTATTCATTTTACAGATGAGAGAAGATAGACTCCAGTAAGAAGTGTGAAGTAAGAAGTGTGAAGCATGGTGGCTAATGCCTGCAATCCCAGCACTTTGGGAGGCCAAGGCAGGAAAATAGCTTGAGGCAGGAGTTCAAGACCAACCTGGCCAACACAGCAAGACCCCCATTTCTAAAAAAGATAAAGAATTTTTTTTAAAACTGGCTGGGTGTGGCAGTATGTACCTGTATTCCCAGCTACTCAGGAGGCTGAGATGGGAGGATCACTTGAGCCCAGCAGTTCCAGTCTAGCCTGGGCAATATAGCAAGACCTTCATCTCTAAAAAAAATTAAAAATAAATAAAACTTATAAAAAGAAAAAAATGAGAATGTGACCTTGTGACCTATGTGTGGAATTCAGGATGATAGCCATAGACTGTTTTCAAAACATGCTTCATATTTCGGGGGGAATAATTGGTTCCATCAACTCCACACAGTTTACGAACAGGTCAAAAAGAAATTGATTGAAATGCAAATAATTTTTTCAGGATTGGGAAGCTTCCTGATGGGAAGAAACTGTGCCCTGTCATCTGTATGTCTGGCACACAGAGACAGACGTCTGTCATTCTTGTCCCCATCCCATTTTGTCCCTCCTTAGCTCCTGACCAAGGCTCCTGGCTCAGGGAGTTAGGGACAAGGCTTATTAACTAAGTTGAGCCAATCAGGACACTCCACCAAAAAAATTAACGGCATTGCCTTCATATCATCAAATATCCAGTCAATGTTGAAATTGCCAATGGCAAGAGCGTCTTTTTGCTTTAGCTAGTTTGGGCTGGATTTTCTGTCACTTGTGGTGGAAAGAGCTCTCACTGATTGAGTGCTTATTAAATATTTGCTAAACAAATGAATGAACTTTTTGAAAAAAGTCTTCAGCTAAATTTCACTGAGATGAGACTAGCTAGGCTGTAGGTGAGATTCTTAGATTTGCAAAATGCTTTGTAGTTTGTCATTTGCAACTACTTATAATATTACCTTCGCTCCACAACAATCTATGATACTGGAGGTATCTATGGTACAGGTAAGTATTTTTAAAGGAAATGTGATGTATTTCTGCCCTAAATTGAAAACTCCTGTCACTTTTCATAATATATACTATATATTATGTATATATAATATATACAATATAAATATAGACAACTACATATAACTATACAACATATAATTTATATATTAAAATATATAATATACATTTGATATATCATTTAGTTTAATGTGTTAAAAAAAACAACAAGCACCAGTAAGAAAGTCAACCAGCTTACAAAAAGTCATACCTGAATATAAGTTCCTTGGTCAGAAGAAAGAAACTTTTTGAGCAATGTGCAATAAGGTGATACTCCATTAATGTCTCATAGTTTAAGACAAAGATGAGGTTCTGAGTCAATAAGACAATTTAATTTTGAAAATGTTGATGTTAACCCCAAGAATCTCAGTCTACATGTGTATGTCACTAGAAAAGGCAAAAAAATTAAACTGCCATCTCTGATATATTTTTGCATACTTACACATACTAAACAAATATTGATTTCTAGTAGTAACATTTCTATAAATTACTAAAAAAAAAAGTTCCAATAGGAGTGGACACTGGGCCAGGCACGGTGGCTCATGTCTGTAATCCTAGCACTTTGGGAAGCCGAGGCAGGCAGTTTGCCTGAGCTCGGGAGTTTGAGACCAGCCTGGGCAGCATGGTGAAACCCCATCTCTATTAAAAATACAAAAAAAAATGAGCATCGTTTGGACCCGGGAAGTAGAGGTTGGAGGCAGAGGTTGCAGTGAGCCAAGATTGCACCACTGCACTTCAGCCTGGGTGACACAGTGAGACTGTGTCTCAAAAACTTAAAAAAAAAAAAAGAGTGGACACTCGAAGTCCAGGCTTTGTGGCTCACACCTGTAATCCCAGCAGTTTGGGAGGTTGAGCAGGAGGATCACTTGAGGCGAGGAGTTTGAGTCCAGCCTGGGCAACACAGTGAATCCCATCTCTACTAAAAACAAATTTTTAAAATAATGGTTTAAAAATTAAAAAGAGCGGACACTTGAATAGAAGGATCCATTCTGGAAGCATGTCATCAGGGCAGTGTGTCCTTCAGAGAGAAGGGCAGAACCTTCAGTTTCTGAATGACTGAAACGCCCATGGGTTCTGAGCCCTGGCCAGGGCCCTGTGGCCTGTTTCACCAGCTGCAAAATTGTACATTCCACCTCCTGACCTATTAGATCCCAGCCAGGCCCAGCCCAGCACAGCACTGCCCGCCGACAGCAGCCTTGGCTGACAGCCTTGACCTACAACCCACTGTCTGTGGCCTGCTGCAGACGGTAGATGCGTTTTTGGCAATTTATTTATCGCAGGAGCTTTTCAGCTCAAAACATGGGTTGAGTATAAATGGGGTGAAGAGAAGTGGGTATTTCTTTCTCACAGTGTATTTCCTTCTTTTGAGGAATATATTGGGCTAAACTCTTGGGGTCAAGAACTTTTGTGGAAATGGTGTTGTTCTCCTGTTGAAAGGGGAATCACCCATCCTATCCCAGGAACGAAAAGTGTTTCAGTTATCCAAGCAATGGAAGAAAACAAGAGCAAGGCTCCGCGAGCAGGTACTCAACGTGTCAGGGAGCATCGTCTCCCGCATCCTGTGTCTGGAAGCAAATAGCCACGTTGCTTTTTCATTTAATTGTCAGGACTTGCAGGAAAGATTCTGTATTTTTTTTCTTCAGGGAAAATGATGGACATGCTTGGTTGCAAAGGGTCCTTCAGTTTGGATTGGTCTGTATTTATTTATTTACTGCCCGCTTTGTTCCAGAAAGACTTTGAGGTGGCAGAGGTTAGTTGTGATCACATAATCATTGCTATCTGAGCATAAAGAGGGAAGCAGCTCAAACTACCTTGTGGAGTCCTGCCAAGAGGTGTAGCAGGGCCTGCCACTCTCACATGCCCCACCTCCCAGGAATCTGGCCATGCTCCCCTGGCCACAGCTGGCTGGACACAGGCAGGTGCCTGAGCAAGGTAGGCATGCGTCAGCCAGGCTTGAGGGAGAACAAACATCCATGAGGGAGGCTCAGCCAATAGAGCTGATCCAAAGCAGATGGTGACAAAGTATCCCAGTTATATCACCTTCTTTAGGGAATTGTGAGAAGGGACCCTGGCCATTCTCATCTGAGAGGACAGGATGCCTAGCGTCACTGGAGCTGGTGCTGCACCATGTGGTGATGAGGAGGCTGGCAGAACATCCCGGCCGTGGAAGCTCAGGCAGTTCTCCCCGCAGTGCTTGGAGGACTAGAGTGATGCCAAGTCAGCAGTCCCAGGAGTGGCTGGGATGGTGGCCGGGGTTGTTGATTTGCTAGAGGGCAGTTCTGTGGCATTCTGGAAGTCATTCTGGAGGCCCCACTGAGAACCCACTGTCTGGCCCCTCCAAAGTTTTTTAAGCACCTAATCTTCTGTACTACGTCTCTTTCTCATTAAAATATCTGGAAAGGTCTGTGTTTCCTGCAGGTGAACGCTGACTGGTTCCAGTGCCCTCCTCTGGGCTCCCACTCCACCTTGTGCATGGATTGCAGGCACTAAGATTGTTTAACCTTCTCCCCCATCAAAGTGGGAGCTTCCTGAGGCCAGGGGTTCTGTCTGGATTCTCTTACATCCCCAGCACCTAGCACAGGGCCTGCATTAGGAGGTGCCCAATCAGTATTTGTTAAATGAACCACCCCAGTGAGAATAAATTTCTTTTTCGCCTCTGTACCCATTGTATCATTCAGAGTTCAGACCAAGAACTAGGAAACAGACTGAGATTTTTTTGTTTTTTTGTTTTTGTTTTATTTTATTTTTATTTATTTATTTTTTTTGAGACAGAGTCTTGCCCTTTTGCCCAGGCTGGAGTGCAGTGGCACAATCTCGGCTCACTGCAACCTCCGCCTCCTGGGTTCAAGTGATTCTCCTACCTCAGCCTCCTGAGTAGCTGGGATTACAGGCATGTGCCACCATCACGTCTGGCTAATTTTTGTATTTTTAGTAGAGACAGGGTTTCACCATGTTGGCCAGGCTGGTCTCAAACTCCTGACCTCATGATCCACCCGGCTCGGCCTCCCAAAGTGCTGGGATTACAGGCATGAGCCACCGCGTCCAGCGTGGTTACCGCTTTTTTAAAAAATAATAATCACATCATCTTTTAATATATTTTCCTTTTTAAAAATAGAGATGAAGTCTCACTATGTTGCCCAGGCTGGTCCCAAACTCCTGAGCTCAAGTGATTCTCCTGCCTCAGCCTCCCAAAGTGCTGGGATTACAGGTGTGAGCCACCGCTCCCAGCCCTGGCTACCCTTGAAAACTTCCTGCAAACCACTGTCAACCTCTGACCCTGCTCTCAGGAGTCTAGGGGCCACAGGCAAGAGGGGCTGAATGCTAGCAGCTGGGGCCTAAACTGCCTCAGCTCGGGGACCAGCAGCATCTTGCAAAGCAGAGGGCCTGGGCTGGTGGGAAACTGCTGATGAAGCCTGTTGGCCCCAGACAAGGGGTGCGTCTGGTGTGTGTGGCCCTGGGCTAGGCAGGTAGCCCCAGGAATCCACAGGAAGAGAAGATGGGGATCAGCTGCCCCTCCATGGGTTTGCAGAAAGACTCAGTGGCTCCCAAATGTCAACAAAGGCCACTGAGGTATGACCAGTGCCCAAGAGGCAGGGACAAGGACAGACAACCTGCTGAGGACTGTGTCCCATTGCAAGAATCAGAGAGCAAAGGTGGCTGCCCTGACACACCAACACGGGGCTCCTTACCCTTCACTCTGGAGGTTGGTGGGGTCTGGCTGTCCTGGCTCATCCTTACCTGGGCTCCTGAGTGGGCCATCTTTACCTGGCAGAGCCCAGACTCCATGACCCCTTCAAGACTGTCTAGCCTCCTGCCAGCCCTGGGTCTGATGGGCCATGAAGAGGCCTGTGGATGGCGGAGGCCATGGTCAGGCTGGAGCCCCCATATCTGAACCTAAGCTCCACCAGGTGGGGGCAGAGAGGGAAGGCATGGTGGAAGCTGTCAACGCACTTCCAGCCCCAGTCAGGAACAGCACGGAGGGTCACCGGGGCACCCTGCTTTGCTCAGATGGGAAGATAAGGCTGGGGAGGGGAGGCCGGACCCACCAAGGGGCAGGCGCCCCCAGGGCGAGATCCAAGCAGCAAACTCTGGCTCTTCATCACCTCCATGGCCTCACCTCCACCCTGAAACTCTTGAGGGGAGCTCCAAAGTCTCCATCCCTTCCTAGAAACACAAGAAACTGACACCATTGATGCCTCCAGGTGGCGGGACATGGTAAGGGGGAGACTCTGACTTAAATCCTGTTGTGGCTTTCCAGTTTTGAATTGTGAACTTGTTACCTGTTCAAAAAGAATACATTATTTTTATATAATATATATATTTTAAATAGCATATTAAACTAAAACTTTTAAAAAAAGGAAAGGGGCAGTGCAGTGGGATCACACTCGTAATTCCAGCACTTTGGGAGGCTGAGTCAGGAGAATAATTTGAGGCCAAGAGTTTGAGACTAGCCTGGGAAACAGAATGAGACCCCCATTTCTACAAAATATAAAAAAATTAGCCAGGTGTGGTGGCATGCGCCTGTAGTCCCAGCTACTTGGGAGGCTGAGGTGGGAGAATTGCTTGAGCCCAGGAGGTTGAGGCTGCAGTGAGCTATGATTGCACCATAGCTGGACTACACTCCAGCCTGGGCAGCAGAGCAAGACCCTGTCTCAAGGGAAAAAAGAAAAGAACAGAAAAGCTTTAATCATCTCCCCCTCTCATTGCTCCCCCTCCACCCAGGAAAGCCAGGTAGAATCTCTTCACTCTTTTCTCCATGTTCCAACAAACATCAAAACACACAAACAGAAGACTTTTTTTTTTTTTTTAATTGAGCCGAAGTCTTGCTCTGTCACCCAGGCTGGAGGGAAGTGGCATGATCTTTGCTCACTGCAACCTCCACCTCCCAGGTTCAAGGGATTCTCGTGACTCAGCCTCCCAAGTAGCTAGGACTACAGGCGTGTGCCATCACACCCAGCTAATTTTTGTATTTTTAGTAGAGATGGGGTTTCACCATGTTGGCTAGGCTGGTCTCAAACTCCTGACCTCAAGTGATCCTCCTGCCTTGGCCTCCCAAAGTGCTGAGATTATGGGCATGAGCCACTGCACCTGACCCAGAGGCCTTTTTAAAAAACTTTATTTATTTACTTATTTCAAATATGGGATCATCCAATACCCAGTATTCTGTAACTGAAAGCTATCATTCAGCTGAATATCATGGACATCCCTGACTGATGAATAAACAGTCAGTTCTCATTATTGGCTGTAGTTATGGTCTATAAAGTCACCATGACCATTGAATGAGCAAATATGGAAGCATCGTTCCTAGAGGAAATACACATTTAGGTTCCTGTGAGCCTCTGCTCACAACATTTCAATCAAATGATCACTACATAACCTTGTGTTATGTGTGTTTCCATTTAAAGGCACCTTATTTACTACATACTGTTGATTCATTAACATTGAACTCACAGCCAACAGTGCTATAACTCATGCCTGATTGAAGCTAATCTAACATACGTATTTTATCTGTAAGGCACATCACAGCCTACTTGTGCTTGGGAACAGTAGAGAGCACTTCAGCACTGAGCTGGGAGGCCGTGTTACACAGCAAAACCACCAACAAAAAACACAAATATGTGAAAAGCGTGATCTGGAATAGACTGCAGAAAGAACATTTGTTTACAGCACAAGAGCTGAGACAAGAAGACAGAGCGTCCCCTTGTTCAACCTCACAAATGGCCACTCTGCAAATGCCCTCCAATGACTGAAAACGCCATGATTATGGATTTAGGGATTACAAATAAATATTAGAGAGTAGGCAAATTCACAAATGCTGAATCATGAGAATCAGCTGTATATAGATTTAAATGTATTTTCTAAAATTTCCACATTTAATCTTTTGGTGGGAAGGATTTTTTGCTTTTTTTGGTAAACAGACAAAAAAAAATGGTCACTAAAAAAGGCGGCTGGGCATGGTGGCTCATGCCTGTGATCCCAGCACTTTGGGAGGTCAAGGTGGGCAGATCATGAGGTCAGGAGATCGAGGCCATCCTGGCCAACACGGTGAAACCCTGTCTCTAATAAAAATACAAAAACATTAGCTGGGCATGGTGGTGCATACCTGTAGTCCCAGCTACTCGGGAGGCTGAGGCAGGAGAATCACTTGAACACGGGAGGCGGAGGTTGCAGTGAGCCAAGATCGTGCCGTTCCACTCCAACCTGGGTGACAGAGGGAGACTCCATCTCAAAAAAAAAAAAAAAAAAAAAAAGGTGGGAATTGGAGGTGGCAATTGGACTGTTACCTCCTCTGTTAACTGTTATCTGCCACCCTGGTCCCTGGGACAGAGTTAAAGTGGCAGCAACCTGGCTGGCCCCAGCCCTTGACATGAGTCTGGCCCAGGGTGGAAGAGGGCACAACTCTTCCTAAAGGCACACGAAAGTCTGATGACTGGTAGATAGTAAGCTGGACAGTGTCTTCAGGCTTCCCCACTTGAGGGCCCCTCTGACTGCGAGGGAAGCAACGGAGGCATTTTATCCCTGTTTTACAGATGAGGGAATGGGGTTCTTGAAGCCCTCTGCTTGAGGCCACATGGCGGTAGATGTGGCTGAGAGCCCTGCCCTTGAGCCTTTTGGCTTGAGGCTTCATGCCAGCATCCACGGAGGCACAGCTTCAGGGTCCCTGGTGGCCCAGCCACTGGGCAAGAGAGGATGCTCTTTTCCATCCCTGGGTCTGGCTAGAGGCCCTGGAGGGAGTCAGGGTCCTTGCCAAAGAGCAGCAGAGCCTGCCGTGAAGTGAAGGCTTCTGAAAGAAATGAGTCTGAATCCTGGCTCCACCTGTCCAAACTGTGTGACCTTAAGCAAATTACAAGGGAGCTTGCTGTGCCTCAGCATCCTTGTCTCTATAATGGGAAGGTGATAGCCTCATAGGGGGCTTGTGAGGTTTTGCTGCAGTGACACATGCAGATTCTCTCCTCAGCAGAGGCTTTGGTTTTGTGCCTGCTTCCCTGCCCCTCCCCGAGCTGGCCAGCCCAGCAGTAGCTCAGATAATGGCAGGAGAGAGCCAGAGGAGGCAGCCACATGCCTTTCATTCATTTGGCCCCACCTCCTAAATGCTGTATCCCAAGACTGAGCCAGGATGCCTGACATTGAAGCGGGAGGTACATGTTGAGGTCCCTTTACCGCTGAGCTGAGACAACTACAGTCAGGTCAGATCCCGGCTCATCCCAGCGCATAGGGCCAAGGGCCCCCCATTGCCAGCGCCAACAGGCCCCCCATAGACCAGCCTGTCCGGTCCCCTTATTTTACAGAGGGGAAGACAAATCACTTAGGATTCTATTGGCTACCAGCACCAGAAGCCTAATTAAAACCAATTTTGGCAGACAAAAGGGGAACTTATTAGCACATACAGCCAAACTGCAGAAAGGGACGGGACAAAAGGAGCCTGACGTCACTGGGGTCTTGTCCAGCTCTCGTTCCTTCTTTCTACAGATTAGACCAGCTTCCTCCTTATCACAGGTCCCTGGCTGTGGCAGCTCTCACCTTGCATCCACCTGGCTTTGAGACCTGACCCTCTCTTGTAGCCAGTTTACAAAATTTCAGGCCAAGACTCTGATGGGTCTTGTTTGGGTTACCTGCCACCCTAAGACCAGTCCCTGGGGCCTGGGTGAGGACCATAGTTCTTTTGGGACCATCTGTGGGAGACAGGCATGTGTGTGTTTTGGGGAGGGGGCAGTAACACAGATGTGGCTCCCAGAGGAATCAGAGTAACTCAAACACCCCTCAACCCTCACTCCCACCCCTCCCCCCGAAAGTGTATCAAGCATGGAAGTGGATATTTGGAGAGGGAAAATGACTGTTTTCTTTTCTTTTTTTCTTATAATTTTTTAAGAGATGGAGTCTCACTCCGAAAATGTGGGATTACAGGTGTGAGCCACTAGGCTTAACCAATCTTTTCTTTATACACCTCTGCATTGTTTGTTTTGTGATCAGAGGCATGTGCCATTTTTGTAATTTTTTTCAAGTTTCGTACAAGGACAAAAAAAGCAGGAATGGCTGCACACCTTAGGCCTTTCTCCTGGCAGTGCCAGCCTGTGGATACAGCTGGAATGACTTTGACATAGTGATCCTCACTCCTGGGCTCCTGCCAGTGACCCCAGCCCTCACCCCCAAATGATCCTCAGAGCCTCTGGGAACATCTCACATGGATTCAGAGACAAGGTGCACAGTTTGTTGGCTCACGGAGGACTGCCTGAGAGCCAGCAGGTCCCCAGAATGCACCTGAGGACCCTGCTCCTCCAGTGAGCAGGCAGAAAACAGTCATTCTCGAGACCATGGGGTATTTTGAAGGGTGGACAGAATGAGTGGCTAAAAGCTGGCTTTGAATCCTCGCTCTACCACTTCTTAGTACCATGTGATCTCAGTGAGTTACTTATCCTCTCTTGGCCTCAGTTTCTTCATCTGTAAGGTGGGGACACCAGTGGTACCTATGCATCAAATTTAATGCAAACCGCCTGGCAAATACCTGGCCCTTTATAAAGATCTTATAAAGGTTAGCAATTATTATTACTGTTATTACAATTATTATTACTGTTATTACAGACTTTATAAAATTTCAGAAAGTTCTCAAAGCTAACATGAAAATAGCCTTCTGGGCCGGGCGCAGTGGCTCATGCTTGTAATCCCAGCACTTTGGGAGGCCGAGGCAGGCAGATCACTTGAGGTCAGGAGTTCAAGATAAGCCTGACCAACATGGTGAAACCCCAGCTACTACCACCACGCCCAGCTACTACAAAAATTAGCTGGGCGTGGTGGTGGGTGCCTGTAATCCCAGTTACTCGGGAGGCTAACGCAGGAGAATTGCTTGAACCCCAGAGATGGAGGTTGCAGTGAGCCAAGATCGTGCCATTGCACTCCAGCCTGGGTGACAGAGTGAGACTCCATCTCAAAAAAAAAAAAAAGAAAGAAAAGAAAAGAAAAGAAAAGAAAATAGCCTTCTGGCTGTAACCCTCTCCATTCAGTAGGACAGCCTGGACTGTTTGATTCCCACTTAGACCCAAGCTGGCCCTCACCACCATCCATC
This sequence comes from Homo sapiens, assembly GCF_000001405.40. Classification (NCBI taxonomy): domain Eukaryota; kingdom Metazoa; phylum Chordata; class Mammalia; order Primates; family Hominidae; genus Homo; species Homo sapiens. The sequence goes on from NC_000015.10 coordinate 89,348,689, forward strand.
CGCCAACCCACATGGATAAACAAAGAGAAGAGAATTCAAACCTTCCATAAGCCTATCACCCAGAGATAATCACTGCCAACATTTTGGTGAGGGCACTTCGTGATGTTACTATATTTGTAATTCTCAGCATGTACCATGCACCCACAAACCTGTTTTTCTCACCTGCACCGTGATATGATTATTTTTCTGTGCATTGCATGACCCCTTAACCAATAATATTTGCGGGGATGTTGAGCCTGGACATTGAGGCTGTTTTCCATTTATTTCCTGCCACACATGGTCTCCCTCACCCCAGATGGTTTCTGCAGATCCATGTGCTCTAAGGTGATGACTAACCCGTTAGCAGGGCTGGCAGCCGCCTCTGTGACACAGAAGGGTGGCATCACTGAGTTTCGATTTAGCTGAGACAGAACACCCACAGATGCCACCTGCACAGGCTGCCGGGAACATGGCTCTGATTTACACCACAAAATCCCTCCTGATCTAGAACTATCCTGTCTCCAGAAGAAAGGCTTTGGGCAGATGGAAACTGACCTTTGGAGAGACAGACGTTCTGACCCACTCTAGCTTGGAGTGAGATGATGCCACCCCTGATCTGGCTGGCCTCAGAGTGGGGACAGGGCAGGAGAAATGCGCAGGACACACCCTCCCTCCCCAGCCAGGCTGAAATCAGGGCTGAGTCAGCCTGGTGTAGCCTGTGTTTCCAAGGTAAAGACGGGACTTCATGGCTAAAAGGAGCTGATGGCAGGTTCCTGAGTGTGTGGGAGCTGGGCACAGGGGAGTGTGTGGTCAGAACATGACAGCAGGTCTCTCGGGGAGAGAGGGATCAAAACGGGCTTTCAGAAAGGATGGTGGTGGGGACTTCAGCCAGCGGGGCAGGAGAGTCCCGGTGATCAAATGACCCAATGACCCAATGGCAGCTAAGGCCTGTGAGCCTGGAACACACACTTGGGGAAATGGATGGAGGTGGTCTTTGCATTGTAACAATTCCTGTGCTCCTGAACCCACACTGGCCCCAGCAGGCTGCAGTTCACCAGCCAAGGTGGGACATGGGGTTGGGATGGTGCCCGTCTCTTATGGGCTAAAGTGTGTCCCCCCACCTCAATTCGTGTGTTACAGTTGTAACCTCCAGAGTTAGCACCTCAGAACATGACTGTAATTGGAGAGAGGGTCTTTACAGAAGTAATTAAGTTAAAATGAGGTTGTTGGAGTGGGCCCTAATCCAATACGACTGGTGTCCTCCTTAGAAGAAGAGGCGATCTGGACACAGACACACATAGAGGGAAGACCAGGTGAAGACCTGGGGAGAAGACAGCGGCCACCTACAAGTTGAGGAGAGAGGCCTCAAAAGAAGCCAGCCCTGCCAACACCATGAGAATTGAGAAGAAACAAATATCTGTTGTTTGAGCAACACTCTCTCTGTCGCCCAGGCTGGAGTGCAGCGTCGCTATCTCGGCTCACTGCAACCTCTGCCTCCCAGGTTCAAGCAATTCTCCTGCCTCAGCCTCCCGAGTAGCTGGGACTACAGACACCTGTCACCATGCCTGGCTAATTTTTTTGTATTTTTACTGGAGACGGGGTTTCACCATGTTGGCCAGGCTGGTCTTGAACTACTGACCTCAGGTGATCTGCCTGCCTCGGCCTCCCAAAGTGCTGGGATTACATGCGTGAGCTACTGTGCCTGGCCCATCACCTTTTAACAGACCTAAGCGTCTCCTGCCCTCCCCCTTGGTTGCACACACCATTAAGAATCAAGGTCTTCTCCATAGGCCTCAGCAGAAGGAAAGGTTTTGCTTACCTTTACTTTCTATAGGTGCATTGCATAAACAATGCAGAATTTCATTTTTCCACAAAGGAAATTGTATCTCAACTTAGGATTTTGTTTTGTTTGGTTTTGTTTTTTTTAGACAGAGTCTCACTTCCATCACCCGGGCTGGAGTGCAATGTGCTCACTGCAACCTCTACCTCCTGGGTTCAAGTGGTTCTTCTGCCTCAGCCTCCCAAATAGCTGGGATTACGGGCACACACCACCACGCTCAGCTAGTTTCTGTATTTTTAGTAGAGATGAGGCTTTGCCATGTTGGCCAGGCTGGTCTTGAACTCCTGACCTCAAGTGATCTGCCTGCCTCGGCCTCCCAAAGTGCTGGGATTACAAATGTGAGCCACCATGACTGGCCAGGATTTTTGAAAGTTATTATTTTTATTTTTTTTCTCACTCTGTTGCTCAGGCTGAAGTGCAGTGGTGCAATCGTGGCTCACTGCGGCCTTAATCTCCAGGGCTCACACAGTCCTCCTGCCTCAGCCTCATGAGTAGCTAAGTCTACAGCACGTGCCACCATGCCTGCGTAATTTTCTTTTTTTAATTTTTTTTGTGGAGACTGGGTCTCGCTCTGTTGTCCAGGCTGGTGTCAAACTCCTGGCCTCAAGCAATCCTCTTGCCTCGGCCTCCCAAAGTGCTGAGATTACAGGCACCTGGCCGGACTTTTTAATAAGTGGCATTCCTCTTTACTTAAATCTTCTGATATGCATCATCTCCCCTTAATTCCTCTCCCTTTGCAATATGCACTGCTGAGGGGAAGGACCAGGCCACATGTGAAGGGCGCCCCCCCCCCCCCCAGAGTTAGGCAGTTCCCAAACTGCAAAACTGTCTGTGGTGTCCCTGGCTCAGGAGGCAAACCCAGTTGAACACAGTTGCTCTACAAGCTGTCAAAGCTGGACCTGTCACAGTGTGGGGATTGCAGCAGTCACTAATACAGGCAGAGATGTCTGCAGAGAGGGAGAGTGCCTGCCAGGTTCCTTCCGAGGACAGAGCAGGAACCTGAAAACTTATTTCAGGCCTGAGGGTGGTATCCAAACCTTGGTTGGTATCCTGTGGCCTTAGCCAGGAGGGTCACTGTACTCACTAAAAGGGATACAAAGGCAGCCAAGTTATAGGGATTTGGCAGAGACATAAAACTGAGGCATGAAAGCAGGAGATGGAGACCAGCATCCACTGAAGGGTAGAACCTGAGGAGGGCGCAGCACCGGGTCACGTGCCCAGCACACAGGCTTGAATGCAGTTGCCAAAGCCCCAGATGACCTGCAGCCTGGGGGTATTCCTGCCTGGTTCACCCACCCTCATGGTTCTGCTTACACACATCCAGCAACAGAGAGCTCACCAACTCTGCAGGAAGCCCATCTCCTAACTGGGCAAATCAGGTTACTGAAAATCTCAGGCAACTATAGTAGCTGCCAGTGGCTAACATGGATTGATCACCTACTTGCAGCCATTATTCTCAGTGCTTTCTAAAAACAGTCTCCTTTAACCCTTTCAATAACCCTGTGAGGAGGGGACTACCACTAGCCCATTTTACAGATATGAAAACTCAGATATGGCCAGGTGCAGTGGCTCATGCCTGTAATCCCAGCACTTTGGGAGGCCGAGGCGGGCGGATCACTTGAGGTCAGGAGATTGAGACCAGCCTGGCCAACGTGGTGAAACCCTGTCTCTACTAAAAATACAAAAATTAGCCAGGCATGGTGGTGCGCACCTGTAATCCCAGCTACCCAGCTACTAGGGAGGCTGAGGCAGGAGAATCGCTTGAACCCGAGAAGTGGAGGTTGCAGTGAGCCGAGATCATGCCACTGCACTCCAGCCTGGGTAACAGAGTGAGACTCCGTCTCAAAAAAAAAAAAAAGAAAGAAAAAGAAAGAAAACTCAAGTACAAAAAAGTTGTCAGTTGGCCTAAGTCCCACAGAAAATAAGCAGTGGGTAGAAATGGGAGTCGGGGAGATGAGAACATTGGTCTCAGGCTCAGAGTCCCCAGTGGAGCTGATGAGGAACTCCAGTCTCACCCCACTTGGCAGGTGCCAGGCATGTCAACACACTTCTCTGTAGAGGTACCAGGAAAGGCTCTGGGGTTGGTCCCCCTGCTCCACTGCCCCACGGCCTCTGCTCAGCTGCTCAGCTAGGGCTTAGGGCGGCAGGGCCGTCCTCAGTGAGCCTTTAGGATGTGTTCCTGCTGCTGACTTGCATGTCCCTTGGGTGTGGGTCCCTATTCTCCCCTACTCCCATTCAGTGTCTACACTGCCCTGACTTGACAGGCTCCTGTGGTGAACCCTGCTGGCTGCTACCAACCTGAAGCCGGCCCCAGTTTAGGGCATGTGTTAGGGTGTTCCAGAGAAACAGAACCACCAATAGGGTGTGTATCTGTGTATGTGTGTGTGTCTATGTGTGTGTGTGTGTATGTGTATATGTGTGTGTGTATATATATATATATATAGAGAGAGAGAGAGAGAGAGAGAGAGAGAGACAGACAGACAGAAAGAGATTTATTTCACAGAATTGACTCACACAATTTTGGGGCTGTGGAAATTCCAACATGAGTTGACTTTGCTGTCTTAAGTCCAAAAGCAACCTGGAGGCAGAATCTCTTTCTCTTTGGGGGATCTCAGTCTTTTCTCTTAAAGCTTCACTTGATTGAACGAGGCCCAGCAAGTTATGGGGAATAAGCTACTTCAGTCAAAGTCTACTGATTTAAATGTTAATCACATCTAAAAAAATACTTTCACAGCAACATCTAGACCAGTGTTTGATCAAACAACTGGCACCATAGCCTAGCCATGTTGACACATGAAATTAACCAGCACAGGGCAGTTCTGGCTTCTGGATCGACCCCACACTGTTCCATCTGCCCTCTCAAAGGGCAGTTCTGACTTCTGAAGTGACCCCACACTGTTCCGCCCGCTCTCTCACAGGTGGACCCTTCAGATGTTGCAGAAAATGGCCAATCACCTTCTCGGTCTTCTCTTTCTAGGACAAACTCCTTCCAGGCTTGTCTACTCACTCAGCCTGATGACCAAAGTCCTCACTGGCCTGGACGCTCAGTCGCTCAATGCTACCCCACACCTTTTTTTTTTGGAGACAGAGTCTCTATCATCTAGGCTGGAGTGCAGTGGCACAATCTTGACTCACTGCAGCCTCCACCTCCTAGGTTCAAGCAATTCTCCTGCCTCAGCCTCCTGAGTAGCTGGGACTACAGGTGTGCACCACCATGCCCGGCTCATTTTTGTATTTTTAGTAGAGATGGGATTTCACCATGTTGGCCAGGCTGGTCTCGAAATCCCGAGCTCAAGTGATCCGCCGGCCTTGGCAGATTATAGGCGTGAGCCACTGTGCCCAGCTGCCCCTTTTAATTTATGGTACCCATCTTAGGTCAGCATTTCCTAAAGCAGACCCCAATCATCCGCATGCTGATAATTTATTGGGGAAGGACTTCCAGGAGAACTAGGGAGTGGGGGAAGCAGGCCAGGGAAGGGGCAGAAGCCAGGGAAGGATGGGATTTCCAGTGAAGTCTCAGCCTCAGCCTAATCCTGTGGAGGGCTTCAGAGTGTGGGTTGCACCTTAGAGCTTGTCCTCGCTTGAGGGAGCTGAGCTTTCCTACTCCTGCACAAGACATCATTGGCTTCAGGCTGCTTGGGGGCTGGGGTCAGGGCATAAACTCCCAGGCACTTGCAGCTCTGCTCATGCAGCTGATGAAGCTCCAGTCCTCTGAAGGAGGTTGCAGGTGCTGGGGGATGGACAGACAGATCCAGTAAGCAGGTTGGGAGGGGATCTGGGTGGAGAACCAGCTCTGTCCACTGCAGCAGCCATCCCGAGGATGGTCTCCACACACAGGTCTGGGAAGGGCAGGAGTTTGTTCTTTCTTTTCTTTTCTTTCCTTTCTTTTTTTTCTTTTTTTTTTTTTTTTTTGACGGACTCTTGCTCTGTCACCCACGGCTGGAGTGCAGTGACATGATCTCGGCTCACTGCAACCTCTGCCTCCCAGGTTCAAGCAATTCTCCTGCCTCAGCCTCCCAAGTAGCTGGGATTACATGTGTGCGCCACCACGCCCGGCTAATTTTTGTATTTTTAGTAGAGACAGGGTTTCACCATGTCACCCTGTTGGTCAGGCTGGTTTTGAACTCCTGACCTCAGGTGATCCACCTGCCTTGGCCTCCCAAAGTGCTGGGATTACAGGCATGAGCCACCGCGCCCGGCCAGGAGCTGTTTGTTTACCAGTCTCCTGGTATGAGCACCCAGTGCACTGCCTGATCTGCGCCACATATCCAAGAAGTGTCTGGGAAATTAACAAAGGAAGGAAAAACACAATATCAACCAGGATTTGTGTAGGAACTAAAAACAATGCTGATGTTTTAAGCAGAAAGGAACTTAATATAGGGAATTAGGCGATTACAAAATTGTTGGAATGGCTAGAAAAGTAGTTGTGGACTAGGTCTGCAGGAATGACACCCAGAACACAGTAGCCGGCCGGCTGCAAGAGCTACCACTTCCGTCACTACCTGGGAGGTAGGAAACTAAGAGCCGTCCCATAGAACTGTTGACTTCAAGAACACACTGCTGTGGTTGTGGTCCAGGGATCAAAAAGTCATCATACAACCAGGCACAGTGGCTCACACTTGTAATCCTAGCACTTTGGGAGGCCAAGGCAGGTGGATCACTTGAGGTCAGGAGTTCAAGACCAGCCTGGCCAACATGGTGAAACCCCATCTCTACTAAAAATAGAAAAATTAACTGGGCGTGGTGGTGTGCGCCTGTAGTCCCAGCTACTTGGGAGGCTGAGGCAGGAGAATCGCTTGAACCCGGAAGGCGGAGGTTGCAGTGAGCTGAGATTGTGCCACTGCACTCCAGACTGGGCAACAGAACGAGAATCTGTCTAAAAAAAAAAAAAAAAAAGTCGTCACCACTGCCAACTATGACATTGCTTCTAGACTATCAGGAAGCAGAAGACTTGCATGCTGGAGCATCTTGGTGGAAAAGCCCCACATCTCCACTGCATTGCTTAAAGGCAGCTGGAAGATGGCCCCTGCCTCACTTTCCCCTTGCAAATTGCTTCTAATTAGTGCATCTAATTCATATCCAGAATACTAGTTTGAAGAGCATCTAGGTAAAGTAGTTTTGCTTTTCTAGTTTGTACAGTACAGGTTGGCATTTAACTAACTTTGTTAGCACTCTTGCCACCAAATTGTTTGTTTGTGATAAACTTGTGGTCCATAGGAACCCTAGATTTTTTTTCTCCAAAACTTGCCCCAGGGTACATTGTGTGGGGGCGTTGTGTGTGGAAAAATTCAAAGGCTTTTGTTGCAGTCTCTTTCAGAGAGATGCCAGAATTTGCCATGGGAACAAAGAAAACATATAGAAACATGCTGGGTGTTTCCACAGCTTCTTATGTCTGGAAGTTGCCATTTTTCAATACACCAAATGTTGACTGTGTCTTCTGTGTCAGGAGCCGGGAGTTTGGGGATAATTGAGACAGCATTCCTCCCCTCAATGGGTTCACAGTCATATGGGGGAAGCAGATGAGTTGAAAGAGGCTTGCCCGGGCGTGATGGTGCCTGTAATCCCAGCTACTGGGGATTACAAGGCTCTCAGGGGCACAGGTCTCAGAGGGAGCTCATACGCCTGTGAGGGACTTGAGGCTTTCTCCTGGAGCCAGAAGACCCTTACCGACAGATGTCAAGCAAGGAAGAGACACAATCAGATTGGCATTTTAAAAAGGAGAATCGCTTGAACCTGGGAGGTGAAGATTGCTGTGAGCCGAGATTGTGCCACTGCACTCCAACCTGGGTGACACAACGAGACTCCATCTCAAAAAAAAAAAAAAAAAAAAGAAAGAAAGAGGCTTGCAATAGAGTCTGCTGATAAGCACTGGCTGGCTTCTTTTATGGACATTTGGATTATGTGAACCAGGAATGGGACAATATAGAACTATTATTATTATTATTTTGAGACAGAGTCTTGCTGTGTCGCCAGGCTGGAGTGCAGTGGTGCGTTGAACTATTATTAAAAGGCAGTGTAACATAGAGTCTAGGAATTTGGACTCTGGGCTCTCATCCTGTTTCAGTTGCTGATTAGCTGAGACTTGAGGCAAATTGCTTAACCTCTCTGTGCCTGGGTTTTCCCATCTGCCGGGTGAGGATAGTAAGAGCAGCTCTGGCATAAGCACAGCTGTGAAGATTAATAACAAAGTGCTTGGAGTCGTGTTTGGCACAGCATACCCACTCGGTAATCGTTAACTGTTAGCAAATTCTCACCCTGTGAACAAATCTGAAAAATGCAAATCCTAAAACATTTTAAACGTTAATCAATAAACTCATCATTCTGAGCTGGCGTCCAAATGGATTGCAAACTGTGTTTGTCACAATTGCCACGTGGTGGCGTGCCTGCTGCTGGCTCTGGGGAAATTGAATTATGCCAGTTCTGAATGGTGCCAGCCCTTCAGGAGGCTGGCCACCATGAGACGTGCTAGATGTCCTGCAGTACAGCCCAGGGGCTGCTTAGGCGGGAAGGCACACAGAGAAAAAGGGCCGGGCTTGGCAGAAGGGGGTTGGGGTCAGAGGGCTGGCAGGAGCAGAGGACAGAATCCTATGCAAAGCAGGCCAGAGGAAAGGAGTAAGACTCCTGCTAGGGCAGGGCATAAGCCATCTGAGAAAGTCTCTCTCTTGCCCTTTATCTCTTGCCAGTCCCATGGCCTTTTCTCCGCTAGTTTATTGACTCGCCTGCTCCATTTTCCCAGTTTCTTTGTCCCCTTATCACCTGACCACAGCACTGACTCCAGAGGCTGTTGAGCTCCCCCTGCTCACTGCACACCTTCCCAGTCCAGGTCTCACTTCAGTGCTCAGGAGAGACCCTGGTACATTCAGGCCAGACCAGGGATTAGCCCTCGGGGGTCAGTGGCCATGCCAGCTTCAATTAATTAGTTGTCAGCGGGGAAGGGAGGATGAAGGACATAGAAGTATGGCCAGTTAGGCCCATCCAGTCTTTAGGTGAAGGAAGAGGCCACGATGGATATGTTCAGGTCAGAAAGTTTCATGGAGGAGTGACATTCACCGAGAATCTGAAAGACACCCCAGAGGGAGGAGTATTCCAGGCAGAGACACTGTAGGGTCACACAAAGGCAGGGAGGGGTGCAAGAGCTTGGGCCTTAAGGAAATGAGAGATGCCTGGGATGGTTGGAGTGTCGGGTTCCTGAAAATGGGAACAAGGCTCTCAGGGGGACAAGTCTCAGGGGGAGCTTGTATGCCTGTGAGGGACTCGAGGCTTTCTCTTGGAGCCAGAAGACCCTTGTCAAGCAAGGAAGAGACATGATCAGATTGGCCTTTTACAAAGCTCTCTCCCCAGCAGTGTGGATGCCATATTGGAGGGGGCTGAGTTCTGAGGTGGAGCCCCAATTAGGAGACTTCTGAAGTCATCCAGGTGAGAGGGGAGAGGTAGGGCTGGAGTGGCTGGGGCTGCATTGTGGCTCCGGCAGATTCCAGCTGTGTGACCTTGAGCACATTACTTACCCTTTCTGAGCTTTATCCCTAGCGGTGCCTGGCATATAGCAGGAGCTCAGCACATATATGTTGAATGAATAAGTGAATGAATGTCAAAAAGCCATCGAAATGCGTGGCCAGACTGAAGACAGAACACCATGCTGAGCCTGAAAGGACACTCATGTCACGGGGCTGGGAGCCTGGGGAAACATCTCCAGACCTTCCAAATCCCGGGCCTTGCTCGCTCATCTCATCGTTACCTCTTGCCCATCTCCCACCTTGCCCTTGGAATAAGGGATCTCCGGATCTGATGAGAAAGGGCTTTTATTTCTTAATTTTCTGAGGCCCTGCAGATATGAGAGGGACCCTGGCGGAAAAGAAAGCCACTGAGATGGGGAGGGCAAAGCTGCAAATGGACTGGACCTGCCATGAAGGCAGGGTTCTTGCCAGGCTGCAAGAATCGAGGGTAAGGTCCCAAACCTGCCCCGTCCGCTTCAGTCTCCAGAAAGCCTTCCTGAAGGAGGCCAAGATAGCAGAGGTGCCAGTCTTAGGTGGAAGAGGAGGTGAGATTTCACCCTGTCCCTCATTCTGTTTCCTGACCTGTAGTGGTTGAGAGGCAAAGAGGTGCCCAGCTCTCCTTAGATTACTGCATCTTCGTCCCCTACACTTAGCCACAAACCGCCAGGCAGGTGCCCAAGCACCGCCCGCGCTGCGCGGGTCCCGAGCCGTTCTCGACATCGGTGGCAGCCTCAGCCGCGCTCACCTGCATCTCCCCGGAACGCCCACCAGAGGGCGCTGTTGGACAGCGCGCAGAGCCAAGCTTATGGGGCGGAAGAGCTGCGAGGTCAGCACCGCCGACTGGAGCACTCGGGGCGGGTGGGCAGGACGAGCGGAGGCCGTGGGTTGGAGCGTGGGAGACCTTCAGGAGCTCCTACGTCCTCTAAGAGGCTTGGCGTAGTCCGGCGAGGTCTCGGGGGTGCGCGGACACCAGCCTCCTCAGCCTCAGGTCTGGAATCCGGCGGGATGGGGGACTGGGCGACGGCATTGTGAGGGCTCGGCGGAGGCGCCAGGGGGCGCTAGCTGGCTCCTCGCAGCCGATCCAGGCCGCGGCGGTTCCACGAGGTCCGGCGCCCCGCGCCCCGCGACCCGCGGTCCTGGCCAAGCTGTCAGGGAAGGTGCGGCGGAGACCACCCGTTCCTCTTCTCCCTCCCTCCCTCCCTCTTCGGCCGGCGGGGAGTGGCGCCCACCATCCAGCCTGCGCCTCTGCGCCCTGCACCCCCATCCGCACCCTTTCTCCGGCCAAGTTTCCCTGCGCCCCCGTTCCTGGTACCCGCGCCGGCCTCCGTGGCTCCTCCACGGCTCTCTCCTGGAATTAAGCTTCCGGGAAGGGTTTGGCCGATTCTCAGACTGGAGAAGGCGGGCCCCAGCAGAGGCCCGAGTGATTTCGAGAAGCCCCGTGGCTGGGCGTCGATGTTCGCCCTGGACTCAGTGACCCAGTAACCCCACAGCAGGAGGAACAGGCTCGCTACGGGGTTAGGGAACCTTCAGGCGCCGAGAAAAAGATACGCAACGGCAAGCCATACTTTTCTGGACACTGGCTCTGGGGGCGCTGCTCCTCTGAACCTCGACTTTCCCCAGGCACGCACCTCAGAGCTGAGCCCCCTGGGGACTCCCAAGCTCTGCGTCTCCCTGAGTCCTGAGGCAGGAGAGGAGGAGGCTTCAGGGGCGGATGAGCCTCCTCCCCCTAGCCGTACCCTGTCACCCTGGGAGCCTGGAACGTGCATCTGAGGCCAGAGCGACTCTTGCCTCTTTTCCAGTGAGCTGGGGGAAAGTCACCCTCCTGAGGAGACCAGCCTTCGAGGGCGTCATGAGCGCGTGTTTGGGGCAGGAACCGGCCGGCCCTCCCTGCTGTGCTACCCCCTGAAACTGGATGGCCCCCCTTTCATTCCCCCAGCTCAGGAGAGGCTTGACCCTACTGGAAGCTCGAGGGCGCAGGCCTGGAGGAAAGAGAGGAACAGAAATCCGGGCTGTGGGGGAGCAGCTGGAAAGCTGGAGAAGCTGGAGGAAGGATGTTGCTGGCTGTTCTTCCCCCACCCCCATTCCTGAGTTTGGGGCTGCAGCCCCCACAAAATCTGCCCTGCAGGTCCAAGTAGTACCCAGCAGCCAAGCAGTAGAATTTGGGCAGCACCCCGGAAGAGGCTTGCAGGATAGGACACAGCCCACAAGAATCATCCGAGGCTGCACCGTGACCAGCCCCTCAAGACAGAGCGAGACCCAAATAACCCCCGCGGGCGGACCCGCAGCGTTCTGTGACTCCACCGCGGAGTCCAAAAGGCAGCTGAGGGTGGGAGCGGAGGGGAAGGGAGGGGGGCCACAGGCGCTCGGGCGAGGGAGGCGCGTCAATGGGCCGCAGGGGCCGGATCGGTGGCCTAATGGATTCAGGCCTGCACGGCAGAGGCGCACCCGGCGGCCTGCCCGCGCTCTCAATAGCGGACAATGGAGTCCCGGGGTGACCTGAACAAAGAATTTGGAAGTAGTTAAACTGCAGAACACGTTCTCGGCCTGGGTGCCTCCTTTCAAAAGGAGCGCTGGGAGAAGAAAAGAAAGCACTGGGGGGTGAAGGGAGTGAGAAAATGCCCAGGGGAAAAGTTGGTAGGTCGCCCTAGTTGCCGCCAGCTACCAGACGCCAGGAATTCAATAGGAAATGGGGGAGGGGGTGGCCCAAGTCTACCAGACCGCAAGGAGAATCAGATAAAGTTCTCCAGGAGATGGCTGGGGTTCCGGAGCAGAACTGAGCTTTCGCCCAGGGCAGAGAGCACCTCCCCCCACAACACACACACGCACACATACACACACACGGTCAAGGCCAGGAGAAGCTTCCCTAGGGCTTTGGAGCTAGAACAGGAACCAGTGAGTGGAGGGGGTGTCTGGGCCCCTGTGTCTAGCCCTACATGGCGCTGCTTCCCTCCTTGGCTCCTCTAACAGGAGGATAGGGCTCCCTCTTTGAGCCCTTTCGCAGAGCTTTTGTTTTTCCTTCCCCATCCAGTTCAGAAAGACTGGGTTCTCTCTCTCCACCCCTTCTTCACTCCCCACCCCGCACAACCAGCAATCTAGGTTCTTCTATGAGAATATATAGTTTGTATTTTAAAGTCAGGCCTCTAGGTGTAAAATATAGGGCCAATTATTATTTTATTTCATTTTTTCAAAATTTTCTAATGTTTCCACAATGAACACAGCCACAACGTAGGAAAAGAAGACATTTAAAAGGCAGTCAGTTATACTGGTATCAAACTAACTTAGAAGAGAAGGAACTTGAAAGACTGTGGAAACCAAAAGTGTAAATAAAATGACGGAATAAATGGTTAGGAGACGAGCCGAAAAGAAGAAAGGAGCGGTGGCTGCCACGTTCCTGGGAGGCAGTGCCTCTGGAACCTTAGAGAACGCTCCCTGGCCAGGAGGCTTCCTCCTGTGAGAGGTGCTTGGCTTGCAAGGGGTTAACAGTATTGCTCATGAACTTGGCCTGTCTGTCTGGCTCGTGATGAATGGTGAGACCCGCTGACAAGTTCAGCCTAGGGACCTCCCCTACTGTGGAAGTGGGAGAAACACACACGGGCGGGCGGAGGGGACCCGGGGCGAGTCATCAAGGGCGCGTGGTTCGGCGTGCCAGGCGCGCTGCTCTGCCTGCTCTCTTGGCTTCTGTCTCCCTTCGACCGATCGCCCCCTATCCTGAAGCTTTCCAATGTCATCTTGGAGCCCCAAAGTTTCCTGGGGCCTCCGCGTTGTGCGTCCCAGAACCCCTTGCCTGCCCCTGAGGGAAACGCGGAGCCATAGGCAGCGGGACGTCGGGAGCCAGCCCAGGGGAGGCCAGATTCAGCATTTGGACAGCGGCTCTGGGGCGCAGTCGGCCCAGCGAGTTTGCCGGTGAACAGCCTCGGGCACATGGCGGGTAGGAGGGCCGCAGGGCTGCTCTGGGTCTTGAAGAAGCAGGACCCAGCCTAGAGGGCATCCCCAGCTCCGAATGGGACACGTTTTCCCGAGATAAAAGATCCCTTCTGAGCTCACACGGGAGCCCCGGGACCATCCAATCCAGCGTGGATATCCCCAGCCTAACCAACACCTGTGCTGGGGGGAAAGATAAGACGCCCCCTTTCAGCCAGGAGGTGGACGACCCTCATGCCCTCAGCTCTCCATTCTTCCCAAAGCAGCTCGGATCCCTAAGTCTGGAGCTGCCAGCGAGGCTTCCAACCCGCTGCTTGCCATCACCTCCCAGGTCGTTGGTGGCTCCGAGTGAGTCTGGCAGCGCGGGGAGGAGAGGGGGGACGAATGGCGTTGCGACTCCCAGGGAAAAGCTGGGAGGCAAGCGGGGCGTGGGGAGGAAAGGCCAAGGCACACGGCTGGGCGCCCCTCACAGCCTTCCTCCGCCGCCTCCATTCCGCACTGGTCGGGGTGAAGGGGGGGGCGGGGGGAGCCGCGCTGACGTCACTGCGGGCCGTGCCCGCCCGAGAAGGCGGCGCTGGGAGCCGCTCAGAGCCCAGAGAAGCGGCGCGCGGCCAGGAGCCCCCGCTCCGCCACTGCCGTGCCTGCCTCCCGCAGCTGTCTGCCATGCGCTCGCCGGGGCAGGGGCGCCCGGAGGGCGGCTAGAGCTGGGCCTGAGCCCGGGAACGCGCCTGATCAGGGGTGGCGGAGCCGCGGTCCCCACAGCCGCCCCACCCGCGCCGCTGCCTCGCTGGGGCCCGGGCCCCCTTCCCGGTCCGTAAGTGCCACTGCCCGCTGTGTCTCGGCGAGGCTGGGGAGCGAGGGCTAGGGAGTGAGGGCGGTGGCTTCGGCCAGGGCAGCGTCAGGGAGCTGGGCTGGACTGAGAGAGGGGGCTGGGGCATCCCTGCCCGGCCCCCTTGGGCAGCTCAGGCAGCTGGGGCTTCCCTTTGCCGCTGGGCGGGATGAGAGGTGCGCTCCCACTGCGGGTGGGAGGCAGGACTCAGTCATCCCGGGCAAAGGGTTGTGGGGCAGTGGGAAGCGCCCAGAGGTGAGGACTTTGGGTGAGCGGAAAGGGGAAGGGCGCAGGGTCGGCTGGAAGTTGTGGGGCTGCAGACAGGTTTAGCAGAAAGGAAGGTTTCTGAAGTGAGGTTCCTGTGAGTCCCAGGATCGCCCTCTCCCTAGCCACTGCCCCCCTACCCCTTCCTTCTTATCCCCTCCCCCACAAAAAATAATAACCTAGAAAGCAGCTTCCTGAAAAAAATATTTTGAGAAAAATGCACCACACAGCACCCGCTCTAGACAAGATTTATGACGTTTTTCCCCCTCTGAAATGGGAAGTTGTTGGGAAATCCTATTCACTCTGCTCCCCACTCCGTGCCCCAGAACAGGCCTCTTTGATCTGTCTGTGGGCGTCTCTGCAGCCTCCTCCAGCCTAGGCTCCACTGAGCTGGAGAAGAATATGGGCAGCGGTGGAGGTTGAGTCAAGTGAGGGGCTTCTTTGGAAGAAGGGTTGGTGGGGGAGTTGGTCCAGTTTGGACCCGTCAGAGCAGGGAGGTAACAGAAGCTGGGAGAACTTCCAGGGTCAGATCACAGAAGCAGTACTGGAGTCCAGAAAAACACACTGAATCTTTGTGGCTGGGCAGAAATCGAGGTGCTGGGCCTAAAGGGAGCCCCCTTTTGTGTCCCCATATCCTGGAGGAGGGGGATTCTTAAGCCATGGAGGGGAAGAGGATGGAGTTTGAGGGTCTACCTTTCAATCAAGGAACAGTGGCCAGAGGTTAGGCTAAGTGGGCACTGAGATGGGGGCATCATACAGGGTCCACCTCAGGACTTCCATTAGCAGTATCTGCTGCTGGAGACCCCAGGGAAGGGGTAGTCCTTTGTCCAGGCCTTTTCAGGAGGGGTGTTTTCAGGTTCCTGCCCAGTTTAGGCCTCCCCAGAGCCCACACCTCAGCTGCTGAGGAGAGAGGCTGGATGTGGGAGCCAGAGAGAGCATTACCGCTCGACTGACCACGTGTACATGAAGGTGGGTGTGCAGGCTCTGGGACCTCCTGGGTGCAGGGAGCTGGGTCCATCTGAGCTGGCCCAATGCTGGGTCTCTCAGCTAGCAGTCCTGCCGGCCTCCAGACAATAGGGAGATCAGCTTAATCAAAGCTTGGGCCTGAGGAAGGAACAAGGGAGGGAGGGGGCAGTGGGGTGAGGGCACCCTGGACTTAGCCTAGATTGTGGCTGGAGACACTGTCTCCTAATTAAGAACCCGTGGGACTCAGGAAAGGAGCACTAGCTCCAGGCTGAATTGCAGGCTGGGTGGCTGCATCTGCCTGGAGTAGCGCCTGGGGAGTTCCATTGGCCTCTGGCTCCCAGCCTCTAGATCAGGGCAAGTCTGGTCTCAGTAGAAGGGTGCCTGCGCAGGGCTGTTGGCTAGGGTCAGAACTGTCCCCCTCTCCTGCCACTTAACCACTTAATTTGCTATGTCCTGAAATAGAAGGCACACTCCTGTGGGTTGTTAGGTCCCCCGCGCTGAGTTGTGTAACTACCAATAGGAAACAGGAACTTGGGCCAAAGCCAGCTTGGAGTCCAAGCAGCTGCCACTGCCAATGGGTACAAGAGTGTACACGTGTACATGCATGGGCAAGGTACCAGCCACCTGTCTTAGGCTGGCTGCTAGACGGAGGGCCAAGTGTGTGAGGGGGTATTGTGCAGATTTGGTGAGTTGAGGGAGTGCAGGATATGCATGTGGTTGCAGCAGGAATGGGCATCTCCGTTGATCTGGATATGGGAGTTTCATGGCCCAGGGGCTCTCTTTCCTCAGTGGAGGTTTGAATACGAAAAATTGAGTCCCAGGCCCTCCGTGGAGGCACCTAGTCGCTGAGGCTTTCTTTTTCTCTGGCTGTTAGCTTCTCCTGGTAGCTGCAGGTGCCCCTGGAGCCTGGGTTTAGGACTGAGGGGGCGAGGTGGAAGAAGTTCAGGGCAAGCGGGGAGGTGGAGAGACAGGCCTGGCAGGCAGCTCTCAGCACCATGGCCAGGGCCCAACAACTGCCACCGGTGCTTTGGCCTGGGTGCCCAGTGGCCAGCCAGACCCAGTACCTGATCTTCTGAAACTTTAGGGACTGTGCTGGGGCTGAAGGCCAAGGCTAGGGGCTTGGTGTGGGGAAAGCTCATGGAACCCAGACACAGCCTGAATTGCAGGCAAAGGGGCAATCTGGGTCAATGCTGGTGGCTGGTCAGGTTCTCCCCACTTGGTCTCTGAATTGGCCTGCCCAGCAGTCTGCCAGCCTCAGCTGGCAGTGCCCAGCCCACACAATGCGCTTCTGCCTGGTGTCGACCTGGATGGCTTCCCGGGCTCCTGTTAAGCTGTGTGTGGAAGCCGGCTGCCAACCCACGGAGACTGCAGCTGCCTTGACCCACCGGAACAGCCTCCTCTCAGCAGCCTATGGCCTTGAGGCTCGGTCTTTCTGTGGCCTTCTTCCTGGGAGTGGGGCTACAGTGAGATGGAGGAGGCACTGATTCTGGGGCCGGTCTCACTCAAGCAGGGTGTGGGAGCCTCCCCCTGGTCAGCCTCACCTGCTCCCAAGAAGGGACTCGATTTCCCAAAAAGACAGTAGAGATGTGGCTCTGATGACAGTGGCCTCCTGCATCTGAACTGAATCGAAATCAGGCTTTTAATTCTTTCTCCCAAAGCCCCAACCCGCCCTAGGCTTGCAGGCCGGCCTCCGCGCGCGGTTACCGCGAGTCTCGCTGAGGAGCCATTTTGTGCAGCATCCTGCTTAAATCACACTCCGAGGGGCTCGTTCCTCGCTCCCTCTTCCCCCTCGCTTCCTCTCTTTCTTCCCTCTCTCTCAGGTGAAACATGCTTCTGGGCCCCTCCCTGCCTCCGCAGCCCCACCCTTCCCACCCCTGGGTGGCCCGGAAAGGACTAGGGCTCAGAAGGCCGCCCACACACACATCAAGAAGGGAAGAGGGTGCAGGTTCCTGGAGCTGCAGGAGGAGGGGAAGCAAGGGGCGCCTCCCAATTATGGAAATTCATGGAATTAACTGTCTCGGGCCCAAATTCAGAGCTTCCTTCCTGAACCGTGGCTGGCCTCTCTGTTCCTCTGCTGGTTCAGCTGTCCAGCCCTTGTTCACCTTCTGGAAAAAGGAATGTGTCTGCGAAGTGGGATTTCGAGGGAAACATGTACATAGCAGATTTGGTTGGTCACAAGCTGGCTGGGATGAGAGCAGGATGTCACCTGCTTCGGATTTAGAGATGGGATGAAATTAGAACAAACCACAGACAAGCAATGGGGAAAGAGGCATTTGACAAAATCCAGAACTTGACAAAATCCACATGTGTCATTTTTAGGGGAGTGTATGGAAGGAAGAGATTTTTAGTAAAATCATGAAATCTTTTCCAAACCATCCACTTTTGGCCCCTTCTTTCCAACCCATCCTGCAAGGGTTTTACCTGGCTCAGAGTGGCCCAGTGCCCCAGACCCCACTAAAATGAATCTGCACGGGTACCTCCACCTAACCCCACAGTGCTCACTGTAGACAGCAGCAGTGAGAGTCTCTGTGACTCCCGTGTATTGACTGCTGGAATCTGGGAATCCACTTGCCCAGTCCCACATAAAATCTCTCCCTAGCTGTTGAGCTTAAGATTTTTCTGGGGGTATCTAGGAGCAAAGATATTGCATTTTTCATACTGAATCCTTTGCATCTTGGGGATGGCTGACAGGCGGAGGTGAATCATAGGGCTCAAGGCTGGAGGGTAGCCACAGCAGCAAGGAAGAAGGGGGTGATGGCTGGCATGAGCACGAAGTGGTACCCATAGGCCACTCACATCTGGAAGGCTGCAATGGTACCACCAATTCAGCTGCCAGCTCAGTTTAGGGGTGATTCCGGGAGACCCAAGGTGGCAGTCCCTTTCCACTGTTGCGGCTACTTGGAGTGAGTAGCCAGGTGTGTGCTGAGAGCTGAAGAAGGAGAGTGGAGGCATGGCTTTGTGCTTTAATTTTTGGTGAAATATGAATTTAACCAGGAGCCAAGAGAGAGCCTAGGACTTCTCCAAGGTGCTTGGCACAATCGGTTTTACACTCCTAGTGTGTCTAGGAACCGAGAGAGAGAAGGGACCTAGCAGCTTGGTACTCAGGGCCCAGGCCAGGGCCTCGCCCAAGTGGAGCATAGCTGAGGAACCTCTGAGTGCCAGGTGTTATGGGTGGGACACCGACCTGCGCTCACCGGGACACTTAATTCTTCCTCCAATCCCTGGTCTCTGCCGCGTGGGCTAGATCTACTGCAAGTGCTGGGCATGGGGAAAGGAAGAGAGAAGTTAAAGGTGAAATGGCTTCTGCTCTCGGCCTCTCCGTGAGCGCTCTCGGCCCTCCTGTGGAGATCGCCACGTCCTATCACACGCGTCCCTAAACCTTGTCACTCGAGCATTCTTGTCTCCCAAACTCTGATGGTCCGCAGTGGGTACTGGGCTCCCTGGGCCCTGGGAGGAAGACGGAGGAGTTTGGGTGAAAGATCAGACGGTGCGCAGCCCTGAGGCTTCTGAGGGCAGAGGGTGCGCTTCCTTGCCCTCGGGGCGGGGAAGCCGTGAACGCCGAGGCCATTGTAAGGCTGGGTGGTGCGGAGCGCGGGAAGGGGGCTGGGATTTGAATGGGAGCCTGTGATTGGCCGATCCCTGGACTGACGTCACTTCCCCGCGGGGCGATTAGCCTGCGAGAGGAGGGCCGGCGGTCCAGTGCGCTGGGGGCGGCCGGGGCGCTCGAGGCTCTCTAAGCGCTCCGCGCGGGTGCCCTACGTGAGCCCCGGGACGCCGTCGAGGCAGGCCGGCAGCGCCGGTGCCAGGACGCACGGAACGGGGAGCAGGGGAGAAATGCGCCGGGAGGGCGAGGGAGGAAGGGAACTGGGCGGGGGCTGCGGGCCTAGGTGGCGGGAGTCAGCGTGTGCGTGTGTCTGTCCATCCCCTCTGGCTCTCCGCGTGCGCCCCAGGATCCGGGCACGGCGTCCGCTCAGGCTCCCGCGCTCGGCAGGCAGCAGCACGTGGAGCCCACGGCGCGGCAGCGGCACTGGCTAAGGGAGGCCCGTTTCTCTCTTTGGTTATCTAGCTGTATGAGTGCCACAGAGCCGTCATAAAGCTAGATAACCGAAAGTAGAAATGATTCTCACAACTTCTGCGTGCGAGCGCCCGCCCCACCGACCGCCCCGGCCCGGCCCGCAAGAGCCAGAGGAGCCGAGAGGAGCCCAGCGCCGGCCCAGCGGACTCCAGCTCGACGGAGCGGCCGCGCCCCGACCAGGTACCTGACCTCGGCTCTCTCTCTGGGGACACTTGCAGTGCCAGCTTTCCCCCAGTCCTCCTCTTTCCTGGTCCCCCACCCCTATCCCCCAGCGCCGGAGCAGGAACCCCAAAGTGGAGCGGGCCGGGGAGAGGGAGGGGGTTGGGGTTGCAGAGGGGTCGCTGGAAGGGGAAGGCGCCAGCCTTCGCCTTCACCCCATAAATCAGGCTGGAACAATCCGCTCCCGGAGCCGTGGACGGGGATTTTGGGATGCAAATGCGATGGGAGAGAGACAGCGGTCGGTAGGGGGTGGGTGGAGGGAGTGAATGGGGTGGGCTGGGGGCTGCCCTGCCGCTAACAATGCGGCCTTTATCGAATTATTCGACGAGTCAGCCCCTGAGCGCCATTAGCATACGGCTGGGGGGTTGCCGGAGCTTCGCCCCTCGGTGAGGTCAAGTTCTTGATAATTTGATCACTTTTCACGGGCTCTGGCAGCTGCCTTTGTGTGCAGTTGGGGGGTCTGTGTGCAGCGTGAAGCGGAGCAGAACTGGCGGGGAGTGCGCTCAATGGCAAGGGGCCAGGGCAGGGGCCTCCCTCCCCGACGGGTCGGCCCTGCCCTGCATACAAACCAAGAGCCGGCGGGTGGGCGGGAGGAACCGAGCTCAGTCTCCCGCTACCTCTACGCCAGCCCCGACCGGGCTGCTCCTGCCCAAGCCTCCCCAACTTCCCGCGAGGTTAAGGTGCAGGCAAGCTCCCAGAGCTCCCCCTCCTCCCTGCCCCAAGAAGTCACGACATAAGATGTATTACAATGTCTAGCAAATAAAAAAGCAATTGGGGGAAATCTGAATTCGTTCCCATGGCAACCCAATGCAGCACACCCGGCCACTCAGGCTCCCAGCCCCTCTTAACTGGGCTCAGGGAGTGGGGCTTGCCCCTGCTCAGTGCGTGGGGGTCCCGGCCCCACACAGTGCTAGGGTCCCTCTCGAGTTTCTCATCTGCCTTCAGGTCACTTTCCACCCTGATGCCTTGGCTTGTCCTGAAGCTCAGGGCCCCTGTAGCTTGGGAAACCTCCCAAGCTCCCCAGCGAGTGGCTGTAGACCAAGGAAGGGACCCTGCCCGGCTTCAGGGAAGAAAGGAAGAAAGGTAGGCTCAGACTCCCCGATTGGTAGGGGGGCTTTCTAAGTATATGGGTATGTGAGTGCTATGATAGACAGGCTGAAAGGAACTGGCACCACCACCCAGCCCTGACCCCCATCCCCTCACCCTTTTACATGAGAGGAAACAGATCTGGGGATCTGAAGTGACTCCCTAAGGGTCACACAGCTCAGAAGGCAGAGCTGGACCCCAGGCCACCTTACGTACATCTTGGCTCACTTCACTCCCTGGAGCCTCTCCCTTAGTGATTTTCACGGCCCCTCTTCTCCCAGCCTTTGCCCAGCCCTCTTGTAAAAATAGAAATATTTTTTCCATCTTCACTCCTGCAAACCTTTTTTGTTCTTTGCCTAACAAAATTATTTTGAATATAGGGTATATATGTAAATGGTGAAAATTCAAACAGTACAAAAGGAAAACCCCTTGGCTCTGGGGAGGAGAACTGTGTGGCTGAGGTGGATGGTAGAGGGAGACTTTTCACTGTATACCTTTGGAATTGTGAACCCTGTGAGTGTGTTAGCATTCACAGTAAAATTAAATAAAAAATACACACAAAAGACCAGGCAGGGAAAGTCAGCTGCCCTCCTACTTTGGTCCCCGGTTCTCCTCAGAGATAATCATGGGCAGAAGGTTTTCTGAATCCCTTTGTACCCCACCTCCATTTTGAAAGGCCAGTTTCCCTTTTTTTCTGACAGGAGGCTGGTGAAGGGTGACTAGAGTGTTTCGGGATTCACGAGGCTATGGGCTGCATCCCTTGGGCCGTCCCTCCCTTCCCAATGCACCTGGGAGCCTGTGTGCTGATGGTGACCTCATTTCGGAGGAAACCGGAGCAGCACTTCCTGCCCCCTTGCCCTGCACTCCCTGCCTTCCTCCCTCACCGGCCAACGGGTGTGGGCAAACCCTGGGCCCCGGGCTTCGATCTTCCCCTCCCACCACCCCTACCCGTTTGCTGTGTTGCAAGAACTAGTCCTTCACTTGCCAGGGTGGCTTTGCAGCTTCCCAGCAGTGTCTACACAGTTCAGATGAGTGTTGTTGTTAAACACCACTGTCCCATACCATCTGGGCAGGTCTGAAACCCGAGTTGAGGGTCTGATGAAGGAGGAGTCTGTGCGGGAGGGCAACGCGGCATTTTCCCGCTTTCTACGAAAATCTGTTGATGCAAACCTCCCGCTTCAGAGAAAGATCGCGGCAGCAGGGCTGCGGAGGGCGATGAGCATGCCAGTTCTAATCTCCAGGAGCCCATCCCACACCTTCCTTAAACGGCCCTCGGAGAGAGGCCAGAGGCCAGAGGCCAACCCATCCGATTTCGGCCTCCTGGTACGAATGCCTGCCCCTACTAGAGCAATGTTCGAATCCCCTTTGGACACTTAAAGCCCAAGGCACAGACTCAAAATTGGTGCCTGGGCCCATCAACGTCTTCTGGCCTGCCTGGACCTGGAGTAGCCGGACGGGTCTGGGGCCTTCTCAGTCCCTCGTCTCCTCCATTCCTGTGCCCCAGGAAGGCCTTCCCCAAGCCTCCTCTGGCCACTGGCTCCCCACGTTTGGGCTTCATTTTTGTCTCCGGTTTGTGCTACTCTTTCTTCATCCAAAAAGGCGTTGGAGATCCCGAGAATCTGCTGCAGCTTGGAAGCCAGAATCTTAGAGAATCTCGGATACTTCTCACCCCATTCCTTTCATTTTACACCTAGAAATGGTGTAAAAAGGCCCAGTGGCTCACGGAAGGTCGCACAGAAGGCCACTGACAGGGCAGCGATCAGTACAGCCACCGTGGTGGGCGAGGCATCCGGGGCTTCCTTTTCTCTGGTCCACGAACTCCCAACTCCGAACGCTGTGGGACTGCATGGGCCTCTGCCCGGGCCAATGAAATGCGCTGCCGAGAGGAGGCTGCGGCGCGGCCTGAGGCCGGATCTCCACAGGCCGGAGAGTTCTCTGCCGGCCGCGGCCGGACCTCCCGGGAAATGGGACCAGAGCGCGGAGGGAGCCTGGCCAGGAGGCCTCCTAGGACTCAGCCGCGACGCTGAAAAGCATGAAGGGTCGGAATTAGGCACTCATTTAGCGAGCGTTACTAATCCGAAGTTACAGCGCTAATTCCCTGATCCGGCCGCTCCCACACGCAGCGCCGGGATTAGAGGCGCGGCCGCCGCCCGCCCCGCCCTCATACCCCAAACGCGCCCGCCCCGCGCCCTCGAGGCTGCGGGCTCAGGGCTAATCCGCCGCGCCGCGCTCGCCTGGCCCGAGCGCGCGGCGGGTCGGGCTCGGCCAGCTGGGGCGAGCCGGCCTGTTCGCTGGCTCGGGCGCCCGGTTCCGGGCTGGGCAAGGAGCGCTTGGCCATGAGCCGCGGGACAGCCCAGGCGGGACGGATGCGCCCTCCAGGGCCCAGGCGAGGCCGCGCGGTGCAGAACCGCCGGGATTTCTCCAACCCGGGTATGCGCACCCACAGCAGCGGCCTTTGGAGGCCGCGGCGCCATTTTAGTGGCCTTCCTTCCCCCTTGGCATCTGTCGTGTATGGTGTGGCTGGGTGTCCCCAGCTCCCCCCATCCCGCTCTGACTTTGGCTGCCCCCTCCGCCAGCCTGGATAGAGTGACCAATCAGCTCTGACCTAGGGTGGGATGCGCGTCACCATGGCGACGGCTAGGGCGCCCTGGCAGTGCTGCCCATCGCAGAGGGCAAGTCTTCACTCCGCCTAGATGGGTGTGAAGGGAAGGTGGGGACAGGTGGGGGGGAGGGGCGGATGGAGGGAGGCCGTGATGCCTCGTCCGCATTCCCACCCCATTTTGCCTAGGGTCAGTTCAGCTGGGTCAGGCAGGGGACAAATGGATGGTGTGGAAGGGGCCTGGGTAGGGGCCTGGGTTTGTCCTGGGGCGGCTCTTCCACGAGTCCTCTCATCCCCCCCAGGACCTAGCTCTGGTATAAAGGCTCATCTTGGTCTCTCATCCTCTTCTATGTCTCTCTTCCAAAGACAGTGGTGTTCAGGAGCCCCCAGACGCTTCCCCCCAATTTTCTTGCTGTTAAGTGCTGTGATTTTAGACAAGTCGCTTTCCCTGGGTCTTAGTTTTTGCATCCAGAAGATGGGCTGCTGTGCAGGCTCATGCCTGGAAAGCCTTCAGTGCACACCGGCTGTTCTGTCAGTGTTAGAGCTCCTTCTCCCTGGGCAAGACCTTTGGGGGCAGGATTCAGAACCTGAGGATGTCCTTTCTGTCCAGGGCAGCCAAGTTTGGGTGTCTCGTGGCTTCCTAGAGCCAGCTTTTCATCTCTCCTCCAGACAGCTGGGAGAGGAGGGAGGATTTTTAAAAATAGAGCCAGGGTGGGGGCTGTGGCTGGAACAAAACCTTGGTCAGTGGCTCTGAGAATGGGGCGCTGCAGCTCCTAAAGCTCTGGCTCCTTCCTTCAAGCCTGGTCTGGCTTAAGCACCACTTTAAGTGGTCCCGGCATTCACTGGCCAGCCCCTCACCGCAATTGAGCCGCAGGGGTTTGAAAAGAGGGCCAGGGCCTCAATGACAGGACCTTGGGCCAGGCTAATTGGTTTTGGTTCAAGGGGATACTGGATTTGTGAAAAGCTCCAAACCGCCTTTCCCACGCCAGAGCCAGGCCATGGCTTTAAGGAGAAGGGTTCAAGGAGCTTGGGGCCAGGCAAGAAAGCTGAGAATGAGGTGCCTTCAGCTGATGACCCTGCTGTCATGGCCAAGACAGCCCTCTGGTTGGAGAGGGTAGGAAGCTGTTGTGAGGCCACTTCCAGGGGCACCTGCATTTATGGCCTGTCAGGTACTCGAGAGTCAGCTGGATACATTCCTAACCTTCTACACGTGGCTGTGCCAAGAAAGGGGCCTCCTCCTTTGGCATACCTTAGTGGTGGAGAGGCCCCATTTTCTCAAGTGGGATCATCCAGTAAAAGAAGCCAGCAATGGCCAAGTTTAATATTTCTTGCCCCAGGAGCTGGACTAAACCCAGACTTTTATATTCAGGGGGCATCCTGGACTCCATCCTGAGGCAGGTATGCAGTTGGTCTCAAGGTGATAACCCACTTCTGTCTCTTGAAATGTCCTTACACTACCCTGGGCATGGACAAACAAAGCAGAGATGAGAAACAGGAAGCCCTTGGTACTTAAAAAAAAAAGGTCAAATATTTCTATTCTCAAAAGTCCAGCATTAATTATGTTATGATTTAAATCTATCATTATAGATAATTTTAATATAAATGCCTTGAAGCATGTATCTTAAGGTGTACCAGTTACCTATGTGTTTGGACTAAATGGTTTCACATATGTATATATAATATACCCATTCTACGTGTGCATATATATATATGTGTGTGTATACATGGTCTATATACCAAATCATATGCTTATATTAACAATCAGTTATGTTAAGGATGGAGGCAGGGTGGGGTGCTATAAATCATCAGTCCCATTTAAAATAACAACATTGCATTGACTGAGACTAGTGTTTCATGGTTCATTGTGTGTTGAGGGGAGCATTCCTATGTGATCACAGGCTGAAGAAATCCCCTACCTTTTCTATTATCATCCAAATTTTTCACTGTGTTTGCCCACTTGACGCATATAAATAGGAGAAAGGCACTTTGAAGAGATATAGAACTCCGTGTATCACATTTTCCATTTTTATTTCAATTTTTAATTGCCCAGAGCCTAATTTCTGTGGGCCTCTGCTGATTTGCACATTTGAGATTCGTGTGTAAATATGCGTGTGGCATGTGTACACGCCTGGGCCTCCTTATCACAAAGTGTGCTCTCTCAGTGTTTAAATACACACAATCCACATCGACACATGATTATGGGCTTACGTATTTGCTTCTTCTCTAGAATCGGGTTAATTTTCCCTTCGCTAATCCTCAAACCCATTAAGTTCCCCACCTCCCCACCCCCACAAAAAATTGCAAACCCTACCACAGACCAGTGGTCTCACCCCACTTCTCCAGCAAGCAGTTCTCCAGGCGGGGTGCTGGAGTGACGGTTCCTATTAGGCAGACTTCATTAATGTTACCAAATATACCTTGGCACATTTACTCGCCTACTATGAAGTATTACCATAAATAATTAAAATTAAACTGCACTTGTCAAAATAAATGAACAAAGTAGAGTTAGGGATGTCTTTGCCTTGATTTGCTTGGTTTGCTTATTCACTAATTTGAAGAAAGAAAGTGAGAGAAGGAAAGAAAGAACACTGCTACAGACTGCCACGGGATGGGCAGAGGAGATAGGGAGAGAATGCAGAGAGAGAGAAAGAGAAAGAGAGACAGAGCCCTCAGTCATCTCCCCGTGGGTTTCCAGTCATTAGGGCACTCTGGGAGGCTGGAATGCAGCCTTTAACGTCGGCCCATAATGAATATTGAGGTGTGGATATGGAAGGAGGGATTTCTTTGTTTACTGAGGAATGGCCATGGGAGTGGGGGAGAGGATTGCCTTTGGGGATTAAGGAGTGGGCTTTGTTTTTATAAAGGGCCTTACTTCTTTTCTGAAGTTTTCTGCAGCTAATTGATTCAATTCAGACATTCCTCCTCCCCGCCCGGCCCTGGCCTCGTGTTTCTGAGATGTGCACAGCCCCATTTCCCCATCTGCTCTGGCCTCTTTTTCCACTGTGACCCTTGAAAAGGGTGTGAACCTTCACATCAACGAGATCACAGGCTATGGGGAAAACAGTCAGGGGCCGAGACCTTTGTATGGATATGTGTGTGATATAAACGCACATACACATACACGCACATATATTAATAGAGGTATAATTTACACCTAGAAACAGATCATAGGTGTACAGTTCTGTGGGTTCTGACAAATGCATTTATACTCATGTGACCAACACCCAAGATAAACCTCATTTCCTTCATTCCAAAAACTTCTTTCCTACCTCTCAGCAGTCAATCCCTGCCAGTCCCCATTCCGATGTCTCTTACCATAGATTAGTTTTACCTATCTAGAGTTTCATATAAATGGAATGTATGCCAGGGCTTTTGAAAATGAATTTATTTAGAGTCTGGAGGGAGCAATGTCCTGGGAGGCCTGGCTGAGCTTGTGTCCAGGAGCACTGGACTTGTGTTAAACACTGTCCCCTTGGATGGGCCCAGAAGTCAAACCTGTCCATTAGATTTTTTTTTTTTTTCCTTTGGGAGAGCTGGTATGGGCTGGTTGTCCTCCAGGAGAGCCCTGTTCTCACCCGAGGTCTGTTAATGAGCTGGGGACAGGTGAGCCTCACACGTTCCAACTTGGCTGCCTTCAGCGGCATCCAGGAGCAGTGGTGAGCTATTAATGGAAGGTGCCGGCTTTGTGCTAATTAGAACTTCCTTTCAGCTTCCATCTGTGCAGACACTGGAGCCCCTCACTGGTCAGCCTCGCCGTCCCAACCCCCCTCAGTTTGCAACCTAGTTTTTGTCCCCCCCACCCCCCATGAATTAGGGGGTGCTATGAGTGGAGCTGCTTTCCTCTAGCTCTGGTCAAATCCCGGCTCTTTGTGTATTGCAGAACTGTACTGGGTGGTATTTCTCAGGGCTTCTCTCTCTTGTTGGGGTGGAGATGGACCTGGAAGATGGAGTTGGAAAGGGATTTGGGCACCATGGCCACCCTCCTGGGTAGGCTGGACTTACATCATCGACCTGAGTTTGTTTTGTGAAAGACCTCTCTCCTCTGCCCTCTGGAGACTGTGACTTCAGACCCTTGTCCTCTCCATTACCCCAGTCCTGATGTCTCCCAAGTCTGATGGTACCCACCCATGTCAACTACAGCTGCCATCTTTGCCATCTCAGGCAGCCTACAGGTGGGGGCTGTGTCCTTGACCCTCTTCTGAAAAAGAAAAACCTATTTTTTTCCTTCACTTTTGCTTTTTATTTCTTTCACCTCAGGCCCAATGGATATATATATATATATATATATATATACATATATATATATACATATATACATATATATATATATATATATATATATATTTTAATGGAGGTTGTCTCTTACAGAGGTTTCATTGAAAAAGAAGAAACAATGTCCCATTAACGTCATTTAAAGAAAAAGCACCTCTCAGAATGGAGGTTGGGAAAGCTAGGGTTTCTTGCCTGAATATCAGTTGGGATGAAATCCCTTGTAAGGAACTCAAGAGAGGAGCGTTTCCTCAGAATGCTTTCTTTAGCTCCTGAGTCTCCTTAGGTCTCCACTGGGGTTGTGTGTAAAAATACCAAGCCCTCCCTGACAATGCATCTCATTCTCTTCTGCTTGAATTATCCTGATAATGAGAGATCACCCACTTCTTTGACAGTGTAGACTAGGATTTTAAAAATTGGGAGTGAATTATTGGACAGTGTGGCACTTCACCAGCTTCCCTCAAGGTTCTGGATCTATGCTAAAGAGGGGTGGAAATGCTTCTGGGGTGTCCAGAAGGGCTGCAGAAATTCCTCGTCACTGGTCATGGGGAGAGCAGGACTGGCTTGCCTCTGTGGCCTCTTCTGCCTCTGGAGGTGACAATTCCTGATTTGAGGCACTAGGGTGGAAGACTCAGGACTATCCAGGACCAGGTTAATAAACCGGCAGTCCAGATTGCAGAAGGGCAGCAGCTGGGGGCTGGGGACATGCCCATGCCTGTGGGACAGAGTTCTTTTGCATGCTTTGGCCTTTACGACTCTGTATCCTTGACAAGTCACAGGCATCTCTGGGTGAAATGGGGACAATAGTACCCATACCTCCAAGGGTTATGTGAGAATTAAGTAAAATATGCAAATAAAGTGCCTGGCATACAGTAGGCACTGAGCAAACGGTAGCTCTTTTTTCCAGGCTGGGGCAAGGGATGCATATAAATGTCTGGATCTGAAGTTTGAAATTCCACCTGCTGGAGACAGTGAACACCCCAGTAGATACCCCAAATCACACAGAAGGACGGATGACCAGCTGCCTTCTTCCCCCAGGGCATGCCATACACACTGGGCCTGAAGTGGGAGAATCGGGACCCCAAAAAAACGGCTTGTGGAGCGGGGTTGCACATGGGTGTAAAGTTCCCAGCTTGGCTGCCTGGGGAGGGGGAGCATGTAAATGTCTTTAGAGATTTGAAGGGACCAGGATCTGGACTGATTTGCGTTGCCCAGGGGGCTGGGGCTGGGAGCCAAGGGGGTGCTGCCGGGAGGCCCAGGTTAGCTTGGGGTATGGCATTTCTAACAGTTGGCGCCTGCGGAAAATGGCCTGGGGTTCCAGCTCTGGAAGGTTCCGAATCTCAGTATTCACGAGCGGCGCTGTCCGGAGCAGCCAGGGTTGTCCCTTGGTGGTCTCGGGCAGGTTCTCCGCGATGCGCTTGCTGGGTCGCAGGTGAGAACCTCACGGTTCTCCATTTCCGGAGATCCAGCTCTGAGCAGGCAGAGGGTCGCTCCCGTCGCCTGCCCCTGCGGTAGCCAAGCGGGTGGCTGGAAGCGTGGCTAGCTGGCAGGTAAGGAGCTCCAGGTGAGACGGAACACGACCCCCAACCCCCTTAGCCGGTGCCCCACCCGATTTCTCTCCTGCGTCCTGGGAGGGCATGGTTGAGGCGCCACCGGTGCCCAGCAACCTCCCCAGGCTGTGGTTGTGACCTGAGGACGCGTGTGTCCCCGCCCTCAGGCCACCGCTACGCGACCCTGAGTGCACCTTCAAGAAGGCCGGGCACGTTTCTGGGCGGGCGTGGGGGGTGCCTGATATCTCCGCTCTATTTTACAGTTACTCCCCTGCTGGTGCCTCCCTCCTTGGCGCGCTTCCCACCTGCGATCGGCGCCCTCTTCGCAGTCACGAACTCGCCAGCAGCTAGCAGCACTGACTAGTAGGAGGGCCCGCCGGAGGAGAGGTGAGCGACCAGAGCCAGGGAGTGGGTGGAGGAGCTGGCTGCCCGCACCCGCACTCCGCTCCAGATGTCTCAGAGAGTGGACTGCGGGTTGGGAGGTTGGGAAATTCCAGGATCAGGTTGGTAGTGCGCCTGTGTTTTTACCTGGGTCACCAGCAAGACGACTCCCCTCCTCCCTAGGCCCGGATCCAATGTCATCCCTCACCCTCAACCTGTGAAATGGCTTTAACCATACACCTGCTGGCTTGTTGTGCTCTGTGACATAATTTGGCAGAACACGGCGTGTAGCACACAGTGGGCGCAAAGTAAATGGCGGCTCTGGCGGTTCTAGCACCGGAGGCGGCTTCTTGGACACCCGGCGTTCGCGGGAGCCTGAGGCGCTCGGTTGCTAGAGCCTTAGCTGGGAGTGGCGCGGCTGCTTCCCGCCCGCGCAGGATCAGGCCGGCCCCCGCGGGCCTGGAGCTGGATCCAGAGCTAGGGAAACTGGAAAAACAGGCACAAACTCGGAAGCCGCGGTACGGCAAGAGCCTAAGCAAAGAATCCTTTCCAAGATTCACACCTCGTCTACACCAGGGCACCGCCTGGGCCTACGGCCTTCCGAACCCGAAGCGCCCGCAGCCCAGAGCTGGCATCAGGCCATCAGGCCGGGAAGGTCGTCGCAGGCCCCAGAGTGCGGGCGCGGGGGGCGCGCGCCCACAGGACGCCCGGGGTTGGGTAGGCAGGAGAGAAGGGCGCCAGCAGGCCCGCGGCTGTTTCCCCTCGGTCCGCACAGCGGGCCCGGGAGGCCATTTTGAGAGCGCGAAGAGGGGCGGCAAGATGGCTGCGTGGGCACCCGGAAGGTCGCCGCGCCAAGGGCCCGCTGAGCCCCTCCTCCCATTCGTCCAGCCGCGCGGCCCACAGAAGCGGAACGCGCGTCGAGAGCGCCCTGTCCGCTCGCCCCAGACAGATGCCCGGTTATTCATTACCGCGAGGCCTAGAGGAAAGAGTGGCTGCCGTCTTCCTGCCCACAGCCCGCCGGACCCTCCGTCGCGGCTGCCCGGTCCCCGGAGCCGCAGCCGCCGAGCCCGGCTGTGCGTGTCGTGGCTGCTGGGGAGAAAGAGGCTTCCGGTAAGAGCCCCCCTGACTGGGCTGCCCACCCCGGGCAGGGGCGGAAACGGCCTTCCCCGCGTGGGGAACAATGGCGTTATTTTGGAGTCTGCAACCGCGAGCGCTTCAAGCTCTTTGATTATTTTCGAGGAGTGTTAGGTGCGTGGCTAACTCCCGCGTTTTCTTGGAACCACGAAGCCCAAAATGGCGAGCGGGCCGTGGCCGCCCTCCTGGGGCTGAGTGTGGTCCGGAGCGCTGAGAGTGGCCAGGGAGCCGTGGGCCTCCATCGTCCCTGTGGTTGGGACTGAGGACCGGCCTGGAGGCTCCATTCACACCATCGCAGGGCAGGCTGGGGGTCAGATGCGGATGAAGCGGGCCGGGCAGTGGAGCTGCATGTTTGAGCTTGCCCTCTCCAGGCCTAAGGGCCAGAGCTTCTGCTCTTCTGCCTTCTTTGCTCCTATCCTACCCTCGTGAATAATTTAAGCACAATCACTGTTTTTCTAGCTGTCCGCATTGACCCACCGCGACCTCGAAGCAGGTCCCAGGCGTGTGCATTTATATGCAGAGTGACCAAGAAACTTCAGTAATACTAGTTTGTGTCTTTGGAGTCCCACTTTTTGCCAGGGCTAGTGCTAACAGCTTCAGGAGAATTCAGCCTCACCTTGACAGGTAGGGTGATGATTCACTATTTGTGGCTTTTGCCGTAGCTAGGATGTGGCAGAGCCGGTTGTGGACTCGGGGCTATCTGCCCCAAGGCCTGCGTTCCCAACCTGTCTCTCTGCACATACACAGGAACACAGGGATTCATCACCGCTGTGGTTTCATCTTTCAGATAAGCACCAAGCCTTTCCTGAATCCAAGTCCCCATCCCCACACAGCCCTGCCTCACAAGTGAGGCATCCCCCAACCTCCCAGTCTAAAGCCCTGGCCTCAGATAGATTGTGTGACTGAATAATGTGTTTGTTCTGAGCTTCCTGGCAGCCAAGAAAAGCAAACATGATGGTTTATAACCTTGTTTTCAAAATGAAGCTCATCAGGATTTTAGAGAGATGAACATTTTTCCTGCATAAGACTTATAGAAAATGTAAAGCTTAGTGATTATGTAGGTCAACTGCTCATGTCACGGATGAGGAACCAGGTCCAGAGAGGTTAAGTGATTTTCACCAAGGTCACAAAATTAGCTCATACAGTGAGGACTGAGACCCAGGGGTCCTGACTCCCAGTCCAGTTCCCATCCTCTCATGACCAGGCTTTAGTGGGCTTCTCAACTTGGAGATAGTTTAATTGTGGTCTAGCGACTCCATTCCTCACTATAAATTGCTGAGACCTGGATGCTGCCTTGTTCCTTTCTTTGCCCCCAGTTCCTAGTGCTGGGCTGGACTCATCATTGTGGGTGTCTAAATATTTGATAATTGAGTGGGGCTAAAACTTCTGATAATGAGGGGATGGGGGCGGTGGTAGAGGGGAAGTCCCTGACTTCAGTTTTCTAGGGGGCCTTTTTTTTTAATGTTAGGTTCCTGATCCTTAATTCCCTAGGTCTCTCTCCTGGCAAGTGGTACGAGGTGGGTAGTGTGTTTTCCCTTTTGGCAGTCATCCTATTCCTAACTGCCCCATCACATTATTGAACCTTATAGGAAAGGGTCATTTGTGTCTTGGGGGACTATGTTGTCAGTGACACCTGCAAGTCCCTTTAGGTGAACTGAGGGAGGTTTCCCCACCAGCACAATGGCCATGAGACCTGGCCGACTCATTCTTTTATCCTCTTTGGGTGGAGAGTCAGCCTTTCTGTACTTGCTCAGGTTTGATTCCCATGGCTTAAGTACAAATCACAGAACGTGGCTTAGATTAGTAAATTTCCATGGCTCCCAAAAGGTAGCCTTTGAATCCCTGGCATGATAACTGTAGGTGCTGAATAAATTTAGTGACCCTGCAACAGACCAGATTCTCTGGAATTCTAGGCTGGAAAGGTGTCACCCCTGGATGTGGGGAGGGTTATGCTTCTTGATGGGAGCCCCCGTTGGTAGAAAGGCTCCAACAGATCCTGGCCAAATTCTGTCATCTTTGGGTAGAATCTGCATGGGCAAAGCAGAGTAGGTAACTAGGGCTTGTTTGCAGCTAAAGCCCCAGCTGTGGAAGAAAAACAGGGTTCAGCTCCCCAGATTAGTTACTGTCTACAAGGATTAAAGGCCCCAAATAATGGCTGGCTTCTCCCCTCCTCTGTGCCAAGGGAAGACATGTAAATACAGCCCCACGCCAGCTTAGGCAGTAGATGTGTATAAATCGAATTTAGCAAATCAGATCATGGTTTAAATGCACTATTTAAAGCAGTCCTGCAGTGAAGCCTTTTACAAAGGGAATAATCATTTTGTGATGCTAATCATCAGCCTCCAATTTATCTCCTTTGTAAGTTCAGATGTTGGTGCACTGGGTGTTCTGAAATTGGGGCGCTCTTGTGTAGGGCTCTGGTGATGGCTGTCTGCCTTTTTCTGACCTCTCGTTTTAAATGGGTGCATGTCCTGTTTCTCACTGGGGGCCTCAGGATGCTTGTCACTTAGCCTGATAGTTCTCATCTGTCCCACTTATCTTTTTATAATCTGATAGAGCCCACCGTTCAGCTGCTCCTGGCTCCTTTTTTGAGACTTTTGCCCTTCCTGGGGAGAAATACAAGCCCTGCTGTTCTTGAGGTGTTAAAACCAGCTCCCTCTCTGAGCTGAACTGCCTTTTGTTTCCCTGAGCTTCTGGTACCTCTGGTGCAGATCAGAAAGATGATCTTAGAGTCGACCAGATAACACAAATCAGCCCTGAATTTAGAAGGCGAATTAAATGCAGCCACCCATTTGCTGAATAGGCAATATCCAAAATATTCTCCCCATTCACGGCAAAATAACTGAGGCCTGGATGTTAAAGTGACTTTTCCCACAAGTTAAAATCAGGACTCCAAGGAGAACCTGTCTCCCAATTGCTATAAAAGTGTTTTATATGCTGAGCTGTAGTTCCTTTCTCTGCAGAGAAAATATAATCAGAGACCATCTGGGTGGGAGAGAAAGAACGAAGAGAAAGAAATGGATCAGAGTGGAATAAAGGAAGTGGGAAGGAAGCTGGGGGGCTTCGAGGAGCCTGACCTTGCTTAGCTTACAGGCCCTGATATAGTGTCTTTGTCAATGCTGCCACTATTGACGCGTTCCTCGGTAATTATGACTGTGTGTTGGCATGGCGACTCGGAGTAAGAAGACTAGAAGCACTGGGTAAATGCACGACTTGTTCTTGCCTTCTAAAGCAGAGAGGAGCTTTTGTGGGTAGTTCCTACAGGGATACATGGTAGAAAATTCACCAAACCCAGTGCTGGAGTGTATTTACACCCCATAGGAGCCAGGTGGCCCTGAGCATAGATTGTACAAATAGAGGTCCTTAGCAAGACTGGCATCTAATGCAGAGGTCTCCCAGAGCCTCCCTCTTGTGTCTTCCTGTTGGTCTTTGTTCCTTAGCCTTGTAATGTCAAGTATATTCATTTCTGCTCATTTCTGGGTTGTCTGTTTCAAAATAGGTTTATGTTGCAGTCTCCCTGAATTTGATTGATCATAAAATTATCTATTTCATAGGCCATGACTATGTATTTGGAAACTGAAGGGAAAGGCTGATGGGCACAGCTGGGGCTTCCCTTTCTATCCTTGTGTGCTTTTCTTAGATACTTGGACCACATTCTCATCCTCTTCTGAAAATGGGGAGAAGTTGCTGTTGTCAAGAGCTGTGCTGTCCTTTATGATAACCACTAGACACACATGCTATTGATCTCATGAAATGTGGTCAGTGTGGCATGTTGAAATGATAATGTTGGGTTAAGTACAATATATTGTTAAAATGACCTGTTCATTCTTACTTTTTAATGAGGCTTCTGAAACATTTAAAATTATACTTGGAACTGACATATTTTCACTGGACAGTGAGGTCTACACTAGATGCTCAAGACCTCCTCCATCCCCAGTGCTTAGTAACTAATCCTGATCTCCCCCCAGGAGGCCTCTGGCCACACAGGGTTCTGTGCATAGAGGTCCATGGAAAAGCTAGAGAGGAGGCAAGTAGAGAGCCTCGGGCCTTAAGGGGCTTTTAGGAGTGCCTAGTTCAGCCCTTTAAATGGGGATTACCCCCCAGTCCTTGGAGGCAGAAGTCGTGGCTTGAATCTGCAGGCAACATTGTATTTTTCAGCATTTAAGGTGGGGACAAGGCAGCCAATGGGTAAACCCCAGAAGAGTCTTTGGATGAAGGTTTAGCACTGCCCCAGTGGAGTTTGAATGGGCACAGCTGTAGATAACAGGAGGGTCGTCCTCCTTCCCCTGTCCCTAGCAGTGATTTCATAGTCTCCCAGATGTGCAGAAACCACAGGGCATGGGAAGGCAGCCATGCATCCCAGGTTCGTGCCAAACCCACTTTCAGCAGGTTTGTTTCCTTTGGCCCGAGGGCTCCTTGTCGCCCCTCTCCTGGCTGCCCCTCCTCCCCTCAGCCTGTGCTGCTCTCCGTGAGCTTGGAGCTTCTGGGATGCGTCTTGGCTCAGAGCCAGCGTCTTCTTGGAGAGGCCTCCTGCCCTGGCTCCCTGCCAAGGCTGAGGGCCTCAGAGAGATTTTCCAGGGAGATGCTGGGCTCATACTGCTGTCAAAGGGCAGAGGGGCCTCAGTTAGCCTTCTGCCCTTGGAGGACCCCTGGCTGTGGGTCTGGGCTTGCCTCCAGCCCCCTTTCCCCCTCAGAAACTCCAGTTTCCTCCCCTGGAAACCCTAGACTGAGTTAAGGGCCTTCCAGCTCCAGTAAGCCTTGAGTTTATAAAAAGAAGGCCCCTCACATGAGCCTGGGAGGTAAGGAAGGGGCATCGGGGAGGCCATAATGAGTCATGACGATGGGGACAGGAACCATTTACTGAGCACTGACTCTGCCAGGTTCTGTGCTAATGCTTTGTATATTGTATCTCTTTTGAGGGCCATCTCTTGGGGAGAAAAAAGAACAGTAAATCTGACCAGGGATTTGCCCTTCTTTTCTAAGCCAAATGCCATTTGGGTGACTGCATGGGGTGTGTTACAGGAGCTACAAACCTTGCATAGGAGGGACTATCAGCCCCCAGTGAGTCCTTGTCTCCCAGAGAATCAGCCTGGGCTTTGGGAAGCAGCATGAGTTCATTTGCGTTGCCAAAGGATGCCTCTGCAGTGTTTCCTGCTTGAGGCTGGCAGTACACCTGGAGAATCAAGATGGGAGGGCTCCATGCTGGGCCCCTGGGAGCCTTGGTGCGGTGCTAGAGGGGTGAGCAGCATACCACCCGGTCTGGATTCATCTCCTAATTGTGTGCCCCATATCCTTGCTGTGCCTCAGTCTGTAAAATTAGGGGGTTGGCCCAAGCCTACCAGCCTGCCCACAGTGCCAAGGGATTGTGGCTGCTCGGGATGATGCTGGCCTTTTACTTTCTGCAATGTTATATCCCCCTGATGTAGCACGTATGATCTTCTGGAGGAGGGAAGGGGGCCCACATCCTCTGTCCCATCTCATCTTGTCCTTAAGCAGAGAATATCAAGCCTTCCTCCTATCTGCCCAGTTCTGCACCATAGCTCCTGCTGTCTCCTTAGGTTAGGAGAGGTGGCACATGCCTCTGAAGGCATGTTACATCCTTGATGAGTGCTGGGGGAAAAGGGAGTAAAGAAACAAGTCTCAAGTTTATAGCCACCCCTTCCCTTTGAATCTGTAGCTTTTACCCAGTATTGAGTCCACTGTTCTCTCTTCTACTGTGGGTCACAGACTCCAAGACCATGGTGGTGTGAGGCAGAGGCAGTGTGGCCCAGTGGGTATCCAGGTGGAGGGGTTGGTCTGACCTAATTCAGAACCCACAGGACACCCCTTCCCCTCTTCCTCTGAGCCAGTTTTCCCATCTGCAAAATTGGGAATAGTAATACTTACCTTGTGACACTCAAGATGCATCCCCCATCTTGCTGGTCTGTCACGAGTAAAGGCCAGGTAAGGTGGCCAGCAAGGGACCAGGGTCAGTCAGCTCTCTGTTAGTCACTCTACAATAAGCTGTGGTGTTTACAGACCAGCCATAAGCTCTGCAGTGCAGGGAGAACCCCTGACCTCTAGGAGCAGAGAAACTAGTATTGCTAGCCTAAGGCAGCACAAAAAATCCAAGGGGCAGATTGTTTTGATGTTTTGTCTCTGTCCTTGGGAGTTAAGAGAAGAGGAATTAGATTGAGGCGGAGAAGCCTCACTGTGCCCAAACAGGTCTTCTAGGCTGTTGAGAGGGCAAGACAGGGCATCCCTACCAATGGGGAGAACTCTCTGACCAGGACCTTAGAGGTGGAGATGAAGCGGGAGGAGGAGTCCTGCTGGACTGGGCCTGAGATTTGGGTATAGGTCAGGTCAGATGGTGGAGGATAAGAATGACAGAGGTAGGGAGCAGGCTAAGAGAATTGGTATGGTCACCATGTGCAAGATGGGTGGGCACTGGAGGCTGTCAGGCCTTGTGCTGCCCAGGCCAACCTGAGCTGAGCAGCCACACCCATCCTGTGCCACTCACCTCTTATGGTTCCTGGCCTGGACGTCAGCAGCCCCAGGGCTGTGCTGTGGAGCCATTTCCCACTTTGCAAGGGAACTGCGCGGCTCTGAAATTGGAAGTCTTCCCATGCCACACTGTATTTTTTCTTACCACACTCATTTATTCATTCAATGTCTATTGACCACACATTATGTGTCAGCCTCTGGGCAAGGCCCTGGGGATACAGAGAGGGAAACCACATTCCCTGGCCCAGCACTTTCGCTTGTGGTGTGGAAAGGCATACATCCATCTAGAGCTGGAAGGCCGGGCTAGCGGGGGTGGCGTGCTAGACTAGCAGGCACTCCGGGTCTGACACTTATCATCAGTTTGTGGCTTATTGGCTTTCCTGCCCCTCTCCATGTCCCAAGAGCCTGGGAGAACAGGGTCAGAGGCCATGTCATGCTTTGCCCGTGATGACCTTAAGCTGTCGTTTAGCCTCAGCTAGAACTGTAATTCTCTAGATTGCATTGTTTCTGTATAGAATTGTGACATTTCAGTTTCCCTTTCTTCATTTAAAAAGACACCTTTTTTTTTTTTTTTTTTTTTTTATGAGACAAGGTCTTGCTCTGTCAGCCAGGCTGGAGTACAGTGGCCTGATCATAGCTCACTATAACCTCGAACTTCTGGCTCAAGCAATTCCCCTGCCTCAGCCTCCAGAGTAGCTGGGACTACAGGCATGTGCCACCACAGCCAGACTTTTATATTTATTTTATAAAAATAAAAAAATATGTTTTATTTTGTAGAGACAGGGTCTTTGTTGCCCAGGCTGGCCTCAAACTCCTGGCATCAAGCGATCCTCCCACCTGGGCCTCCCAAAGTGTTGAGATTACAGCATGAGCCACCACACCCAGACTAAAAGGCAGTTTGATTTTACAAATCAAAATAGCAGTAATCTATGGAGATTTACTTGTGAGATTGGTAGGAAACATCTTAAATGTAATCAAACAATAACTTACATCTTGATGAATTCACGTGTAGGTTTCTCTTCCTCAGAAGAAATCAGATGCTGTTCAGAGCACGAAGGCTAGAATTTTACCCTGGTTCTCATGCTACCTTGCACCCAGGTTGGATCCTGAGTACAGTTTTTGGCAGGTGGGCCTGCATATAAGTTAGCAATGGGGGATACCCAGCTGCCTCTCTTCATACAGCTGAGGTTTTGGGGAGTCATTCTTATAGCCCCTGGGTTGGGCCTAGTCCTGCAAATGAATTCACCAGCCCTAAAGCCCAAATTGCAGCCTCTGTCATTCACCTTCCAGGAGTGGAAAGGGCAGTAAGTTTCATCTTATTATTATTGCTATTTTGGTGGTTTTGTTGAGGTTGGTGTGTGTATGTTAGTAAGATAAAGCTCTCAGAAATTACATAGCATTTGTCAAGGATATAAGAGGGACTGTGCCACATCTGGCTGTATAGAAGGTGGTTCCATATCTTTAAATAGAGCCCCAGGTCCTTAGCCACCAGAAAGGTTTTCAGGGGAAGTGTGCACCCTCAGCAGCTGCTGCTGGTGGGCAGGATGGGCACGCATGGAACAGGCTTTCCTCTGTGGCCAGGTGAGAAGCAGGTGGTGAGACACAGAGCAGTGCTGGGCTCTGCTTCTGAAGCCTCCAACCTTTCCTTCCCTAGGAAGCCCCAGAGAGATTGGTGAGGGTGATTTCCCAGGAAGACGCAGTGTGCTCTGACTTCTGTGACAGTGAGCAACGGGACCAGTGGATGTCCAGATGCTGGCAATGAGTAGGCCTTCCCTACGCTGGGTGGCGTCCACACCCTCCGGCTTCCATTGCCTGGGTCTCCTGGAGGTGGTTTGCTGGATGAATACCGCATGCACAGAGGCTGGCCTTGGGTTTGAATATGGCAGCCAGTGGACAGCATGTGCTTCAGTTATGAGACTGCCCAGGAGATGCTTCTTCCAAGGCAGAGCACGTGCAGAGTCCAGTGCTGGAGAGGCCGGGTGCGCAGTTGACCCATTTCCAGTTCTGTTTTCCCTCTCATGTTCCTCTGTCCCCATCTAGGACATGCTCTGGAGTCAGAAGACAGCGAAAAGAGAAGCAGAAGCCCCGGTGGCAAGAGTCTGAAGGTGGGTTCCTTCCTGACATGGGCATTGGGCTGCGCATGTGTGTTCGCAGTTCTTTCCAGCTGCTGTTCTGACCTCTTTGTGCAGTGTATTTATGTGGCTGTAGATGGATGGTCCAAGGTAGATTTAGGTTTTGGAATACTGTTTTTTTTTTCTACTTCAGGGAGAAAATAACCCAGTTTGGGAAGGACATTTAAAAGGGGAAAATATTAGGTATGATGGCACACCTGCAGTCCCAGCTATTCGGGAGGCTAAGGCTGGAGGATCACTTGAGCTCAGGGGTTTCAGGCTGCAGTGAGCTATGATCACGCCACTGTACTCCAGCCTGGGTGACAGAATGAGACCCGTCTCTAAAAAAAATGTAATTTAATTTAAAAAGGGAAAATATCCTTGGTGGTCCTTGGAACCAGCACTTACCAGGTTGACCCATATGAAATTTCTTTCTTGTTGATGAAAAATAGTCAAATATTGGCAATTTCTTATGGTTCAACATGTTACAGTTCCATTCCTCTGGGATGGTAGAGGGATCCCCAGAAACACATTTTAAAGAGTTTCTGATACTTTAACCATTTGTGTTCCTCTTCATCCTACGATACCCTTCACAGAATTTTTTTTTTAACAGCAGGAAGGATGACTGTAGCCTGTGGATTGTACTGCAGTAGGAAACTGTCCTAGCAAGGCTCCACTTTGCCCCAGCTTCAAGGTATATCGTCTCAAAATGCAGGGGACTTCAGATGAGTTTTGAGCACCCTTTCTTTTATTATAAAAAAAATTCCAGACAGTTCAGCCAATACTGACTAAGGGCTGAGACCAGTTCCATGCTTTTCTGTCTCCAGAGGAATTTGCTTCCATCTGGATGCCTGAAACGGTATTTTACTTCACCTCCTGTGTCACCGGCAGCAGTCCTGGGAGCCCTGGGGAGGAGGTTTTTGGGAGAGCCAGCTCACAGCCTCTCCATCACCTTTTAGCCACCCCAGTGCTGGGCAGCCAGGGTGTGGGCTTTTGACTGAATGCACTTGCCCTCCTGCATTCATTACACCATTGTCAGTGTGTGTGTCTGGGGCTGCCTCTGGGTGTGCATGGTTTTTTTTGTGTCTGCGTGTCAGTGTCAGGCTATGTGTGTCTGTTTCTGTCGGCCTGTCTAGGCGCGCTCAGTGCAACAAGGAGCTGGGGGAGGTGGCGGTAAAGAGGAAGGGCATTTCAAAGCCCAGCTGTCCTCCTCAGGGACCTCAGGAGATGCGTGTGTGTGTGTGTGTGTGTGTGTGTGTGTGTGTGTGTGTATTTTTTTCCATGCTGCTCATTGTGTGGGGCTGCATGCGAGTGTCTGACCAGGTGTGGTGTGAGCAGCCGCTGGGCTGGGTGAGCCCCATCTGCCGTGAGCTCCCAGACTTGCCTTCTAGCCCTCTGCCGCCATCCATGGGGAGCCTCTCCCTTCGCAGCTCACCGTCTCTTCTCTAATTTATTAGCTGGAAAGGAGGAGAACATGAAACATTGCTTGAAGACAATGGCCGAGACAGCAGGTCCCACCCTGCACAGCCACCAGCATCTCTCCCCTCAGCCCTGTCTCCTCTTCTGCAGTTGGGATCTGCACATTTAAGCCTGAAGTAAGAATAAAACAAACCCCCAAACCACCCTATTAAAAAATGTGCCTGGCCTTGGACATGCAGAGGTAGCTATAAACTGTTAAAGGTGGGAGAGGTCAACAAAATGAAGGTTTGAGCCTTCTTCTACTCTGGGGCCCCCCACCTCTGAGTCCCAGCACTTCCCCCCAGCTCCAAGCCAGGTTGAGGGGGGGCAGGGGGGCAAGGGGGCCCAAGGCAGCTGCAGGGGCTGTGTTAGTAAACACTTTCCTGGGTTCCCATTTTCTTTACACCCCCCACCCTTCTCTACTCCCTGATGCCCCGTTATACACTCCCACCCCCAGCATCCCCTTTTCTGTGGCCTGCACAATGAGCTCATTGTCCCGGGTGTGATTTGAATAAGGGATCGGTGGGCCTGTTCCCAGCATTGTCCAAGGGGCTGGGAAAAACCCCAGCGCAGGCAGGAGGACCAGACCAGACAGAGACAGATGCCTAAATTAGCAACAAAGCTTTGTGCACGTCCCCTGGACAAGGGCTCGCCTTGTTTGCGTGGACTCGAGGGTGTGGAGCTGGCCGGCTGCTCGCATGTCTCCCCATGTTAATTAGTTTTGCATGCATGTCTGAGAAGGTGCCAGGGGAGATGTGTTTGCCTTTCCCCGGGAGGGGGCCCTGTTTGTGGCTGGCCAGTAGGCTGGGGTCTTGGAGCTGATATGGGCTGGGCCTACCTGGGGAGCCAGGCTCTGAGCCTGGCTGGGGAATCACGGCTTTCCCATCCTGTAGTTCTGTCTCTCTGACCTCTGGGGGGCCTGGCTTTGCTCCCTGTGCCTTCTCCCTGCCACCCCTCCATGTTTGAAAGTTGGTCAGCTCTGACTACTGGGACTCACTGGCTTCCTCCCAGACCCAGGCCAGTGCCTGTCCATCTGGCAGTCTGTCTCTTGCGACACAGGGCCCCTCGGGACCGGGCAGCAGAAACAGCCAGTCTGGACTCTTCTCCGTCCCCGAGCCAGATGGCCAGTCTGCTGATCGCATTACGGCCTCCCCTGTCCCCAGACCCCTGCCGCCTGTGGTTGGACCAGGATCTTGTGTGGGATATGATGGAGAAGCTCCCTTTTAGGACCTCCTAGAGGCCTGGCCCTGAAAGGAAAGGGGTCTGGTAGACAGGGCGTAAGGCATGTCCTTGCTACCAGCTTCTATGTGACCTCAGGCAGGCCAAGTGACCCCGACTCCTGAATCTTAGTTTTCTTGTTGGCAAGAGGAGTGAGTGGAGCTTCAGGAATCTCTTGGCTCTCTTCTAGCTCAGAAAACCTCTGATGGTGGTAGCAGTGGTGATCACTTCAAAACTGTGTTGATGTAGCATTCACTGATGTAGCACAATGACAGGAATGGGACTAATGAATTCTGGCTGGGGTGGAGGGGAGTGTTGCAGGAAGGAGTTCATCCCTGTTGATATTCAGTGTGGGCTCCTGTTTTCAGAGTGTGGGGAGGACCAGGAGCAGGCAGAGCCTGTCTTCCCAGGTCTTCACAGAGGAGCCCTTCCCCATCCCTACCCTGCAGTGGTGAGAAGCAGGCCCTGGCCCAGCAGAAGGGAGCTTGGCAGTGGCAAAGAAGAAGCTGGAGGGATAGCAGCTGCTGGCCAGGGCCCTGGGTGTGTCCTGGTTGCCCCTTGCAGGTCCTGGGATGGGGTTGGTGGGGGTGGGCAGGGGACAGGGCTGAGAAGGGTCAGGGTTCATCTGGAAACTTCAGAGTGGGAACTCTCCATAGCCCTTCAGAATAACCCCAGGTGGTGGGTGGGGAGTGGGATGAAGCATCACCCTGCTATTCAGTGCGGGGGTCTCAGGTTCAGCGGTCAGGGTGTCTGGCTCCTTCTTTGCCAGCCTCCCCATCTCTGGCACCCTCCCACTCTCTCATCAGGTGTTGTGGGATGTATCTTGCACTGGGGCCAGGCAGCTGACCAGAGCCACCCACAAGGAGCCTCTGGAATTAACCTCAGGTAGCCACTCAGGCCAGGCAGGGGAGAGACCCTGGGCCTCCCTTCCAGCAGGGACCTTCCTTCCCATGCTGCGGTGCCAGCCAGTTCCCACATGCAGTGCACTTGTTCCTTCCATTTGGGCTGCCTTTCCCCTCTCCGCCTCTCTCTCTCTTTCTATTTCTGTTTCTGGGGGACCTCTTTTTCTACCCCTTTCCCTGTCTCCCTGAGCTGCTCCTAACTCAAGCTGGATAACTGGTGGTAAATTCCAAAGCTCAATGAAGAAAAGAGGATAGAAGTTAGCGCTTCATGGCAAGGATAGAGTGAGAGAGTTGCCTACAGTATCGGTTGGGAGAAGAGGCAGGGCAGCAGGGCCTTGGGAGAGCTGCCCACTGCCCTCCCTGCCCCTCCCCATTCCTACCTCCCAGGGTTTAGCCGCCTCAGCTGTAGCTCTGAGCTCCTTAATCTGGTGATCCTTGTGGTGCTGGGGGGCGGGCTGGCAGAGGCTTTAGGAGGTGACAGGGGATCTTGGGAGTCGCACTCTGCTAACAGAGTGTCATGCAAAGCTGGAGAATCACATTCCGAGCGCAGCTCCTCCTTCTAAGGCAGTGGCCCGGCAGGGCTGGACCCAGCACGGGTGGTGCCCAGTGGAGGGCTGAGGCACAGGCCCTGCACGCAGTCGGGCATCACCTCCTCTTTG
Source organism: Homo sapiens (assembly GCF_000001405.40). Classification (NCBI taxonomy): domain Eukaryota; kingdom Metazoa; phylum Chordata; class Mammalia; order Primates; family Hominidae; genus Homo; species Homo sapiens. The sequence continues at coordinate 89,392,125 of NC_000015.10, forward strand.
TCGCTCAAGAGGAAAGTTCCCAAGATTAGGGCTTTCTGGCCCTTTCTGCATGGCTAAGATTTCATTGTTTGGTAGCTGCCCCCACCCTTACCCCAGCTCCCAAATCCTCTGGCTGCCAATCCCAGTTAGAAGAAGTCTCTGTAAGTCACAGGTATCATCCCCCTGGTCAGCTGTTGGGGTAGTCAGGGGTGGGGATTTGTCTAGAACTAAGCAAGTATGCCGGGTGGAATGGCTCCCCTGCCTAGATGAGAAGGGGAGAGAACCCCTGAGATGAACCCCTGATTCTCTCAGCGATGGGCCCTGAGAGAAGCCAGGAGAGACAGGAAATTGAGGTGGGGGTGCAAATGCAAGCGCAAGTGGTTCTGAGGCATCCAGCTCAGCAGAACCGGGGCAGCCCAGGCCTTGGACCTTGGCTGGAGGGTAGGGACAGAGGAGAAGATGCTGTGGGTCGAGGCCCAGGGCTCTGCTTCTGCCATGACTCTGCAGCAGACCCTGGATGTCTCAGAGCCTCCAAACCCTCATTTGTAAAATGAGCATCATAATCCCTACCTCCATTGGAGCTGCTATGAAGACTCTTGGGCACACGGGAAACACTCAGTGGGGTTAATTTTTCTTCTCCTTTTCCCTTAGATATGGGGCAGAGATGAAGGAGTTAAGCTTCTCCAGGTCACTTAAGATAGCTGAGATTTGGGGAATGGGGACAGTGGTGATATTCAGAATATTTAACCACCTGTACAGGTTGGGCACCAACCAGTCAGAATGACACCTGGCCCAAATCATCACCCAGGGAGGAGGGCACAGCTGAGCAGAACTTCTCCCTATATCTTTCTGCCCCATCATGAGTCCATTTATCAGCAAGCATACAGACATCCCTTGAGGGCAGCTCCTGAGGAGGTTGCAGGATGCGGGATCCTGAGATCTTTGCATTCAAGCAAGTCAGGCCTAGCATGGGGCACCCTGCCTGACCTGGAAGAGGACCCGGAAGCAGAGGGCAGTGAGCTGAGGGCCTTCCCAGCTCCTGCCCCAAGCTGGCAGCAGACCTGCCACCAGGCTCTGGGGAAGAGCTGCTTCTGTGGGCTTTCGCCATCCTCACGTCCCCTAGAGCTGCCCCCTCCTTCCTGTCCCTTCTTCTCAAAAGCACCATGGGTCAGGATTAGAGGGTCTGTTTGTTCTCTGATCTAACTCCTCGTGCCTGTTTCTTCATCAGCCTGGGGAAGTTCATGGTTTCTGTTATCTGACTGTGGAGTATGGGAGTGTGGTGTTGGGGTAGTGTGGAGCCATGTTCTATCATCATGGAAAGATTCTGGCCTCAAGGCAGGCAGCGTCTTCCCCCAGCCCCAGGCTTTCTGAGGCCACACCTGGACACGTGGTGCACTTAGCCAACACTGACTTATTTTACCTGGCCTATCTCTTTGCCTTGTTGGGTGAAATTAATGCCTTTGAGGGCCTAAGGTGGTCTGGTTAAGTGACAAGGGCATAGGAAGACACAACCTTACCTAGCTGGAAGTCAGAGATTTGGACTCTAGCCCACTTTCCCACTGAGTGGTCTTGGGCAAGCCACCTCCTTTACTGGATCCAGAAAAGTAGCATTGAGCCAGGTGTAGTGGCTCACACCTGTAATCCCAGTAACTGGGGAGGCTGAAGTAGGAGGCTCTCTTGAGGCCAAGAGTTTGAGAACAGCCTGAGTTTGAGAACAGTGAGACCCTATTCTTAAAAAATGAAAAAATTAGCCAAGTGTTCTGGCTACCTGGGAAGCTGAGGCAGGAGAATCACTTGAGCCCAGTAGTTCCAAGGCTGCAGTGATCATACCACTGCATTCTAGCCTGGATGACAGAGCCAGATCCTATTTCTTAAAAAAGAAAGAGAAAGAGAAAAAAGAAAAGGAACATTGAATAAGATGGTATCTGAGGTCCCTTTTAGCCCTGCATTTTTTCATCTGGGAGTTCTTCCTGCCTTTTCTACTCTGTTACCTGCCAGTAACCCCTGCTCCCAGCCCCCTGGCTCACAGGAAACATAGTTAGCTTTGTCCCGTTCAAGCTGGCCTGGGATGCAATGAGGCACCATTACCTAGAGGCTACAAAAATGAAAACCCAGCTCACTGCTGGCAAGGGATGTGGGGCTGGGCAGTAACCTGTCCTGGAGCAAGACTTGGGCAGAGAGCATGAGTCTCACCTAGGTGCACTCCCAGCCTCTAATCTGGATGCCTTTGTCCTTTGTTCTACTTCTGTTTGCTCTGCATGGCATTTGCCTTGGTGGCTCTGTTTGCTCAGGTGGCCCTCAAGGTGGGTTTGCAGTGCTCTCTTTGGGATTTGTCCCATTCCACTTCCTTAGGCCAGAAGCTTTAGACTCAAAAGCTCCAATCCCTGAGAAGCAACCATGGGGGAAACACTACTTTTTGGTGCTGACCCCTCTCCGCAGCACCCCTGCTAGGAGGCTCTTCCACTGGTACAGCTGATACATGGATGTGGGCTCAGCATCTTATATGACTGGCATGACCTTGGGCCAGCTCCTTAGCTTCTCTGATCCTCTATTTCCTTATTTCTAACATGAAGATAACCACACCTTTCTCATAAAGTTGCAGTGAGGCATAGAAATAACACAGATAAAGTACCTTGAAATGATGTTCTCTCTTACCTTCTAGTGCCAGCTGCACCCAGAGGCTTCAAAGGCCACAGACATAAACCCTTAACTTTCCTGACCTCTTGCCTTTGAGTTTCAGGACTGCCCTGCTGGGGAAGTGCTGAGACAACCTTGGAGGAGCTCCTCCCCCCAGCCCACCGCCCCTCCTTCCCCAGGGGGCAGAAATACCTAGTTTCAGCCCTAATAATACCTGAATGAGATTTATAGGACACCTTCCTCCCCAGAGTGCAAAGCTTCTCACATATTATTTCTCTTATCTTTAGATTGTCCTGTGAAGTGAAGTATGATCGGACAGCCTCTTTTCAGCTTTTATGACAATGGAGACAGAGGAATTGTGGCTCTTGCCAAGGTCACAGGATTGGAATACAGAGCCAAGCCACCCCAGGACATGCAAGAGCCTCAGAAGGGAAAAAAGCCCAGCAGGAAGGGAGAACAAGTAGCCTCTGTCCTGAAGTTGTAACAGCCAGGGGCCAGGATGGAGGAGGAGGACCCCATAATCTGCCCATCTGGGACTTGGCAGGGGACCTGGGAAAATGTACCCCAACCCATCCCTTAAGGGCCTTTGTCTTTGGCCCATTGGCCTAGCATCTACTTCTTCACCGTGTCTGTTCTTGTCACACCTAGTCAGGTCTGTTTGGGTCTGAGGTGCATGGAACATTCTGGGTAGGCCTCCAGCAAACGGAAGCTCTTCACCGTGTTTCCAGCCTGGGACCAAGGGCAGCATACTGGCAAAGTTGCCAAAGCAAGGGACTCCAGCCTCTTAGGAGTTAATGACTCCCTCTCCCCAGCTGTCCTCCCCTTGGTGCTCCTCTTCCTCCCTCCTCCTGCTCACAGCAGGCAGGGCCTAGACCCGGGAGCCATGCTGCTGTGCTGTTGCCAGGGGAGCACGGAGGCAGATCTGAGCTATGCAGGGAAAAGGCCCAGCCTGTCAAAGTGTCTGAGATGAACCGCCGCCGTCCCTGTGCAGCTGGGCTCAGACGTGTCTCAGCTCTTGTTCTGTGCCTGAGAATGGCGAAACCCAGTGAGGTTCAAGGGCAAACTCGCTATTCATTAGTCAGGGGTTCTTGACGTCCCGTCTCTCCCAGGGATGAGTTCCCCCCTCCTCTTTCTCCCCCTCCTATGACACATTCCTGGGTGCCTTTGGTGAGGACTGCACACCCTCCTCCTGCCTAGCCCCCTCTCCAAAGGCCCCTGAATAAACTCCCCCCAAGGAGACCAGGCAGGGCAGAGACAATGGCTGCAGGAAATCATTCAGGCGGGACATGCTGGCCTGCCCTCCACCCAGTCCCCCTGTGGGCCCCACTCCCTTCTGATTCAGGGCACCCTTGGGCCCCCAGCCTATACAGGCCTGGACAGGAAGAAACCACTGGGAACCACCCTAAGGACAACATGCTAGTCCAGTGCCATTCTTCGCTGGCTCTGTGGGTGCCTTTGTGGCCTGTACCGACTGGCTGGCTAATTTTGTGGTTTCTGTACCATCACATGCCTATTTTAAGACACTCTCCAGCACTGTCGGTTAGGGAGTGTAAATTTTGCAATATTTTCTGAAATGTGGCAATATCAAAATGTAAAAGGCACACATACTTGGTCACAAACAAATGGCACTATTTACTCTGTGGGCATATTTGTAAAAGTTGCCAAAGAATTATATACAAGGATGTTCATCAGAGCATTTCTTTTGAAGAGTAAAGAAATGGACATGAACCTGTGGTCCGTTCATACGGTGGAATACCTATGCAGCTGTAAAAATCAGTGTGGTAGATCTCCGTATATGAGTTGATGTGGAAGGTTGGCCAGTTCACATGATAAGGTGAATAGAATAAGTTACAGAACAGGCTGTAGAGTATGATCTTATTTGTAGATGTTTAAAACTGAGTCATAAGTATGCTTATATACAGATCGTTTCTGGAAGTATGTACTGGAAGTCTACCTCTGGGGAGTGGGGATGGGGGAGTGCACTCTTCTATACTGTTATATTTTCTTTTCATGCTCCTAAGGTACTTTTATTGGAAGATGTAAAGCGGTTCAATGTAATAGGCTTAACTTCTGTCAACTAAGTTGGCGTGGGTGCTTTAAGAGGGTGGTAGTGATGTTGCTGGAGAAAGTATCCCACAGTCACTGGTGGCTTCAGCCACGGGCCATTTTGGGGCCTAATAATCACATATCATCATGGTTGCTAGTGTTAATCGAAAACCTACTAAGTGCCAGGCTTACTGTCTCTGGGTCTTGCTTACGTGGATGTCATTTTTCCAGTTGCACCAAATCGAAAGAGGTTAATTGGTTTGTTGGAGTTCCTTTGTAGGTGAAGGGCAGAGCCAGGAGCTTGGCTAGGGACAGGGGAGGTGAGTGGGGGATGGTGGATAGGTCTTGGCTCCCAGTTTCCTTCTGGGCAGACATTGCCCCTCTGCCCTGAGGACCTGCTTGTTTGGGGGAAGAGGCCTTTAGAGGCACCAGGGTCATGCCAGGTGTTGGACATGGTGAACTGGGAAGTGCTCCCATCTGGCCACAGCGCAGAAGTATCACCGTGCTGGGGGATGGGGAACAGGGCTGTGAATGGGCCTATTTGCATAAGCAGCATGTGTCTGGAGAGAAAGACATCACAGAGCAGAAGAGTGCGGGTGCCCAGGAGTGCACTTGCCACCCCTACTTCATCCCTGAAAGAGTAAATGGCCTGGAAGGTGTCTCTGAGAGGTAATGCCGCACACCACCCTCCCTGGGGGCAGGGTCAGGCTACACCTGCCTTAGGTCGGGGGCTGCAGCAGCCTGAGAGCTCTCAGTAGGGCCTCAGTAGCCTGGGAGGGAGCAGGGGCAGGGGGCAGGGAAAGAGGCGTAATGGGGCTGTCCAGAGGGGCCTGGGAAACCTGGTCCCTGAGGCCTGGGCACAGCTACAATCACTTCAAATTGGCTGTGGGGCCAGTGGACTGGGAAGGAAAAAAGCAATAAGAGTGACCAAGTGCAGAAGGCTGTCAGGTCCCAGGTCACATGCCTTAGTGCAGTGACTCCTCATCATTTTATGGGGTGTGGGTGTCGTTGGTACACCCATTTTACAGATGAGGACACCGAGGCCCAGAAAAGTTAAGTTACATGTCCTAAGTCACACAGCTTGTAAGTGCCAGAACTGAGATCAAAACCAAGTCTCTTTGACTTTAAAGTCTGTACTCTGACCCCAAAGAGATCCTGTTTGGCCACTTATAGGAGGTCCCTAAAGCTGCAGACTCCCCTTGCCGGCACCCACATATAGAGACATTAACCCTTCCCCTGCAGGGTCACCTCAAATAGTCTTTTAGCTGGGCTTCTCCTGCAATTCCACCTAATGCCATCCCCTGGGTTTTGCCCAAACCTGAACTGGGCAGTGGGGTGAGAGGAGGGGTTTACAGGGTTACAGAGCCTCATACAGATAGGAGCCCATGGCTGCTGGTCATCTGCATTCCTGCAGGATTGGCTGTTCCTTGGGGTCCTTGGCAGGAAAATGAGGATTGCTCCGAGGCCTGCTCCAGTACTTCCCAGAGGCTGGCCTGGTGTGGGGCTCTGGGAAGGCTGAGGCTGGAGAAGCGTAAGTAGGAGGGCAGAGATGGCACTCAGGTAGCTTGAATCACCAGGACCCTTCCAAGCCCCACAGGTTCTGAGGGAGTACTAGGGCCAGCTCTGGGAGAGGTCTCTTCCTATGCTGTGAACCCCCTGCCTTTCTTGCAGCCTACAACGAATAAATTTTCTTTGCAAAGGCTTCCGTGTCTCTGGTCAGTTTTTCTAGGAGGACATGAGTGAGGAAAGTAGCACTCCGCCACCAGCAAAAACAACTGCTTGTGTCTTGCGGTGTGGTGGGGACACTGGTATGGGTGCAAAGGATGGAGCAAGAAGTCTTACAAGGCTGGGAAAGTCTGTCTTCTTGACCTGAGCTAGGGTCATTTGGGCAAGAAGTGAAGGTCATGGCCAGTGCAAGGCCTACCTTGCCTTGAGGGTGCCCTGCCCTCAGGAGAGGGGTCCTGGAGGTTCTGGATTGGGAGCTAGCCCCCACGCTCCTTCTCAACCTCCATCAGTGTCTTCTCATGTAATTCTCACAATGACCCCATAAGACTGAATTCTGTCTTATAGACTAGGAAACAGAGGCTCAGAGAGACTTAAGAAATAGGCAAAGCCACACAGCTGGGAAGCAGTGGAGTCGGCCTCCAGATCTCATCTCTGTGACCAGAATGGGATGCAGGGGGTGGTGAGTCTCTTGAAAGCCGCTGATAAGTTTTTTCATGTATGAGCAAATTCACAACCCTGCTTTCATCACAGCATTCATTCTCACAAGGCCTTTGGACTGCAGAGAATAATCAGGACTTACTGTGCCAGCCACTATTCTAAGTGCTAGTTTGTGTATTAAATCGTGGCTTAATCCTCACATCTGTGTGCATAACTGGGCACTATCCTTATTCCTATTTAACCAAGAACGAGAGTGAGGCCAAGTTGGCCATCCAAAGTGGCCCGTGTGGCTCCGTGTGTGGTGGGGGAGGGGGGATTGCAGCCAGGATGCCAGCACAGTCACGTTTGTCTGTCCAGATGCCAGGCACTTAACTGCACACACTACCTCCCTAAAGGCCCCATCAACCTAGCCCGGGCCCACGACCCCAAATGAAACATCTTTCACTCGCCCCCCAGCAGCCCGGGCCGCGTTTGACCACTAGTAGGGCAGAACCACTGACCGGCAGGCGGCGCTCCCCGGGGCTCCCGGCTCGAGCCCCAGGGCACCGGGAGGAGTAAGGACCCCGAGCGGGAGGGAGACGACTGGGGGGCGCGCGGCACAAAGAGCTTTTTATTCAAATTTGTTTAGAGTTTCGCGAATTTGCATGAAAAATGTGTGAGAAAAGCCAGCTCCGGTGACCTCATCCGCACCTGCCATTAACGTTCAATTAGCGGCTGAATAGCGGCCGCCGACGCGACGTGCAGAGAATCCGGCCTGCCCCGCGCAGCGAGGGCGGCGGGCCAGGCCCGGGATAGGGTGGGACCGAGGGAGGGGGACGCGGCGTAGGGCCCCGGCCTACTCCTCTGGCCCGGAGACCCAGGACCTCGTCCGCACTCCAACTCTCCGAGGGAACGCGGGGATCTCAGGACTCACGAGCCCAAGATTGTTTGGAGCGCGCCGGGAGCCTTAGGATGCCTGGCTCCCTCTGGGCGCAGAAAAGGGCGGGCTTGCCTCCTCCCCAGGACGGAAGGTGGCCGGAAGAGCCCCGTCCCAGCTCAGATGGGCTTCCCCGCCATCTTCCGGACAAAGTGTCAAGTACAAGTTCAAGTTCAGGGCCAGGCCCGGGGGGGGGCGCTGAGCCTTACCCGGCCGCCTTTGTTCTCTGGCATAATCGCTCCCACGTCCCCCTCCCGGGCGGGGCCCAGCAGAGACCCCCGCCCCGCCCCGCCCCGCCGCGCCCCGCAGGAGCCTCCTCCTCCCGCCGGCGCGGCGCCTGTGCCCTGGTCCCGGTGTCCCCGCTCGGTGCCACCGAAGGATCTAGGGGCTCGGGCCGGGGAGGGGGTGGAGGGGGGAGTGGAGGCGCGATACGAACCCGTGGGAGCCTCCCCAACCCCGCAGTCCCAGCGGCAAACTGTGCTTGGTCGGACGGATGCCCGCGCGGAGGTAAGAGCCCTTTGCGGGATTCGCCCGTATCCCTGTGCCCCGCCCCCCGCCTGGGACTACGCGGGCCCCAAGGAGCGGGGCGGAGGATGGTGTGCTGAAAACCGGCTGGGCAGCCCCGCTGGGCCTCCGGTGGGGTGGGGGGCGCACTGTCGCTCCAGGGCTCTGGGGAGTACGAGGCCTGGGCGGTGGGTATGGAGGGCAAGTGCGCCCAGCCGAGGCCCAGTAAGATCGCCGGCCTTTCCCAAAGGCGTTTGGCTCACCCATCTCTCCTCGGCTAGCCTCTTGGTCTCCCCTTCTGTGTTTCTGGCTCTGGCTCTTCCTTGGCTCCTCTCAGATTTTGGCTGGAGGGGATCCTAGTTAGAATCTAGCTCAGCCAGGTCCTGAGGCCCCTCGTGAAGAGCCGGAGATGTGTGTGTGGCTCAGCTGTTAGGGGAATCAGCTGTGCCCACTCACTCCCCCATCCCATTCCCAGAGCCTAAAATAAAGTCCTGGGCCAAATGGTGGTTGCTGGGGCGGAGTGGGCTGGGCTGGGCAGTGACTTAGTGGCAGTGCAGGGGCCATACGAGTTCTTTTGTGTGTGTGTGTGCGGGGGGACCTCTTGCTGTCCCTGCTTGCCTAGTTCCTGGATTCCGTGCGGTGACAGGTGTTAGCTTGTACCTAGCTCATACCTCACCCAGTGCACTGCCAAGTTGAAAGGGCACGGGGGCTTCTTCTGAGTGGCCCAAATCTTGTCCCCTATACCTGCCTTTCACTCTCAGGTGCTTGCTTTGAGGTCATTTATGTACCCATGCTTTACATACTCTTCTAACAACCACAATATTTGGCTTCTAAATTCACAGCAAGTTAGAAGTAACAAATTAGAAGGGGGAAGAAGGCCTTTTCCCTGCAGCTGTACTGCTCCCATTGTGCGTTCCTTCCCCTCTTCTCTGTGTTGTCCTGGGATTTCTCACTTCTGGGATTTTACTCATGCTGAATTGCCAGCCTACTTGAGTACATTCCTTCCCAACTCCAATTGGCCAAACTTTGTCCAGTGCCTCCTCCTCCAGGAGGCCTACCCAGATTTTCTCCACATCTCTCCCTCCCTTGACACCTTCAGCAGAGGGTCAGCTGCACATCTGAGTACTTAGTAAATACTCAGTAAATGAAGTCATTTCTGGATGAATGAATAAAAAAATCATACATACACATAAATCTAACAAGCACTGAGATGGTCGAATTTTTGTTTTTAATATTGATTTAAATATAACAGCTCCCAGGGGCTCCTCTCCTCTGTTCCATCACATATGAAGTCTCTCACTTGCAAGCAAGAACCAGCCTGAAAACGTTGGTTTTGTGTGCTCTGTTAAAAAAAGAAAGAAAAATTCTATGCAAATTGCTTTAAAATTTAAAAAAGAAGAAGAAATGCCAGAAGGGATCCCCTCAGCCTCTGTGCAGCTCTGCTCTTCATCTGACGGGGCCCCCAGAGGGCTTAGAGGAGCTAAGGTTTCATGAACTGCACATGACTTGGGACCCCTTTGCAAGGTCTCCGTGGAGCCACCAGAAACTTGACTAAAAATGGAGACTGACCTACCTAGTGCGTGTGTTTAGATTCCCGATGATTCATCACTGACACGCTGATGTCAGAGGAGCCTGGGAAGATGTTTACATCTTTTTAAAAAAGGGAAAGCGAAACGTTTTTCTGCAAAACCGTCTGTAAAACCATCTGTAAAGGCTGCTCTAGACTCTTCCTCTTCCTCCTGGGCACTTCTGGCCTGAGCTCTCGGACAAACCACTATTTTTCTCCTGTAGGTTCCCTAATTTGGATGGGTAAAATGAGGACATTTAAGGCAGCCACAGTTGGCAAGCGGTGGTATAAATACTACTCTGCAGTAGACTGAGAGAACAATAATTTATTTATATATTAACTCATTTAGTCCTCCCAACTAAAGGAGATGGCTCCCTTTTATAAAAGAGGAAACTGGTATGAAGAGGTTAAGTAACTTGCCTTCAGTCTCACATCCCGAAGAAGGTCCAGTAGGCTTTATACTTGGCAGGAAGGGTTAGACTCACTGTGCTTTACTATACTACTGACTTTGTAGCTTTGCTCCTAAGGTAGTGGCTAAATGCCTCCTCTCCCAAGTCACATTTCATGTGGATTTCCTTGCTTTCCTTATCACCCAGAGACAGAAAGGAGTCAGGGGTTGGGGGACAGTGAACAGCTTCCTTTGGAGTCTTTCATTCAAATTCTGGCTCTCTCCCTTACGTACCATGTGACTTGTGTCAAATCTCCATATCCTCATCTGTAAAATGGATTTGCAAATTGATCTCATCTCATGGACTTGTGAGGATGAAAGAAGATGCTAGGTTTGGCCCAGGGCCAGAGTCATAAATGTATCCTTGAATGACAGCCATTATTATTACCAGCAATCACCTCTAATGACAATTTACTGTCACTATGCATTTTCAGAAAACAGTGCCCCTCCCCACTCAGAAAAGAAAAAACAACACCGATACATCTCCACGTGCTTTAAGTGCCCGGGGTGCCAGGACTGTGGAATGATAGCAGCTTCATTCTGTACGCAAATAATTCAAACTCCCAGTAGGTCTTGTGGACCCCCGATGTCTTAAATACAGACCCTTGAAACCTTGTCTCTCCTGGGCTCTCAGCACTTAGGAAGGTGTGAGTGTGTGGGTGGGGGGAGGGTTGAAAGGCCCTGTGGCTAATTGAGAGAATTAGAGACCAAGATGACTCTTAAGGAGAGAAATCTGAAGCATGTTCTTTTTCACTTTCTTAGCCATAAACTCTATTACCTATTGATGAGGAAAATAAATTAAGACTAGACCGTGCTATGGAAGTATAATAGATCTAGTCAGTGGAATGCTTCTGCCTCCTTTCAAGTAATTTATATTTATTTTATTTATTCAGTGCTTATTCTGTGCCAGCCATTGTTTTAGGCACTGGGTATACAGCAGAGAACAAAACAGAAAAGCCCCTGCCCTCAGGGAGCTGACGTGTGTGTGTGTGTGTGTGTGTGTGTGTGTGTGTGTGTGTGTGTGTGTAAGGAGAACAAAAACATCAGAAATTCTGTGCTGTACCTGCCTCTGACAGGATTCCTCATGAGTGGGACTGGTCAGCTTGGTCTCCCTCACTCTCTCACCCCTTAAAGCCAAGGACACGTGTTTTCACACAGCTGTCTCCACTTGGGGGTATTATTAAGGAAAGAGACAGAGACAGGCTCAATTTCTCTCTATATCCAAAAATAAGTAACAGGCTGAGGTAAAAAGGTTACTCAGGCAAGGTACCCATCAAGCAGGCAATACACCGGTGCCTGCCTTCTTCATCCCATTCCTGACCAGATGCTAGATCCAGGCAAGGCTGAAATCCTGGCAGTGGAACAGGGGCAGAAATGGTGACAGTCCATGGCAGAAACCAAGAGGACTGGGAAGGGACAAGGCTGTATCCAGGGGTGTGGGCAAATCATATTAATAGCTAGCCTGTGCCAGTTAATCCTCACCAGGACCTCTGATTTAGAGATGAGGAAACTGAGGCACAGAGAGACTGAGTAAAGTGACCCAAGGCCACACAGCTATTCACTGGCAGATCGGGGGCAGATTTGAACCCAGGGAGCTGGCTCCAGGGTCTATGTGCCTTATCCCACTATCAAACTGTTTATTTAGGGACCAAATTTCAGAAAGAAATGTGTACTTCTCTTGGGTAAAACTCATTCTCCAAGTGTCCTTAGAAGTCAGCAGGGGGTTCTTCCGTAGCCACCCTCCCTCACACTTCTTAGAGGCCCAGGTTAGAGATGTTAGGAACCTTCTTTTACAAGCCCCCTCACTTGGCAGTTGAGGAAACAAGCAGATGGAGAAGGACTTGCTGGAGGCCATTATCAAAGTGGACACTAGAATCGCGATCTCTTAGCAGAGCTCACACTGGGGCTGCATGTCAAGGTCTTGGGGAGAAGAGCTGCTTACCTTACTGGAGCCTCTTCAAGGGCCTAGCCACTTCTACTACCAGCAGAGTAAAACAGCTGCCTACTCTGTAAAGAAGTCCCAGATAGTTTCTAAAGGCCTTAGTGGACTCGAGGTACCATGGTGTCCAATTAGCCAATGGGCCTTATATCTGGTCCTTGGAGAACTGTCCTTGTCCTTCTGGAGCACTGCCCATGCTCTGGGCATATCCTTGGTAGCATATGGTTTCCTGCCAATTTAGGGAGCTTTTCTCCATCCCGGAGCCAGGGGCCATGGAAGCCATGTTTGTTGCCCTCCCCACTCTTGGTATGTGCCTTGCACAGAAGTGGGGACTGAATGACGGTGGCGTTCAATTGAATGTCTTCACCTCTTGGTGCCAAGTCAGGTCCCCATACTATCCCACAAGGCTGCCTGAAAGATGCCCCCATCCTCCTTGGAATTGTGGGGGGAGGGTCAAGGACCACCACCCTGGACTTGGAATCAGAATGCCAGGAGGAATCCTGGCTCTACCTCTCCTTGCTAGGAGATCTCCAGGTAACCCAGATCCATTCTTTGAGTTTCTATTTCCTGAAGGAAGCTGACAGTGTCTCCTTGGGAGGCCTGGCAAGTGGGGGATTATAGGAGATGCTGTGTGTGAAGGTGCTTTGCAAAGGGTGAGGTGGGTGGGAGATCCTGCTTACCCAATCACATGCTTACCTAATCCCTGCCTTGTTTGGTCCTGGGTCAGAGGAACCTTAGTCCTTTCATCACAAACCAAGAGAGAGGATGGAGGATTAGGGGAAAGGGGGCAGGGGTGGGCTTCCTCTGAGTTTCCCCAAAGAGGCTCCATCTTGAAGGTTACCACTGTCCTACCCCATGGAGGGGGTTGCTGCAGTGAGGAGGGAGCTGGGGTGGGAAGTGAGCCTCAGGAAGAGCCAGCCTGCACCACACCCTGTGAGTCAAGGAGTTATCTTCTAGCCTGGTGGTTTCTGGTTAGAATTTGACATTAGTAGCACCAGCTTTACATCAGTCACTGGACTGGCAATGAAGAGAATGCCAGGTTAATGAAATGTTCTTGACTTTCCTGCCTGGACATAGAGGTTCTATCACCAAACAGAAAGATAAGGCATTTGTGATATAGTAGCTGGAGTAACCAAAACTCTTTGGAGGTTCCTGTTCGAACGCACCCCAAAACCACATAAAAATTTTCATGGGTGGAAAGGGTTCTGCCCTTGGTGGTTCTGGAGTCAGATTTGGGTGCGTTTGGTCTGATTTACCCAGCAGTGCCCGCCCAGGGCTCCTGCTTGGCAGGTCTCATGGCCTAACTCACTAGACTGCCTGAGGGGGACCCGAGGTCAGTGGGGTTTAGCCAGAGTGAAATACACAAATCAGAAGGCGGGAGGTGCCCGCGCGGGCCCGGAATGTATGTGCTCAAATGCCTCTGTAGGGTATGGTTTCCTGCCAGTTTGGGGAGCCTTTTCTCCATTTGAGAAAAAACAAACTTACAGCGAGGGGTGAGGGGTTAGGGTTTGGGATTGGGGAAAATGTGGGTGGGGAGCCCCCCCAAGGAAGTGAGGAGGGGGCTGCAAGGATTACACCTGGGCATACGTTTCCCTAGAAATCACATTCATTGTATTTTTATAATTTATTCTAAATCTTTCATGCGAAGAAAGTCAGTAGTGAGTGTTAGTACTGGTGGCCCTCCTGATCACACTTGCATCTCTTGAGTGTGCCTTAAAGGTCTTGGGAATGGAAAATATAAAAACTGCTTCGTGATGCGTCATCTTTATCCCCCACTCCCCCACCCATTCCAATATATTTTCTACTTCCAGCCTAAATTCGGGGCCCCCTACCGAGGCCGGCCATGATCTTGAGGGCGGCATAGGGGAGGCCGCGCTCTGTCCACCCCAGCCTGGTGATGCCGTTCGCTTCTTGTGCCCGGTATTGTGGGCTACATGCCTTTCCGGCGTACGGAGCTGAGCGTCCAGGCCAGTGCCCCTCAACCTCTCAGTAATGTTTACCCGAGGCCGTCGTGCAATGAGACTATTCGCATGGCATTGTCAACGCGGCGGCGCGCGCGTCTCGGCCCTCCGCGGCTTGCCAGACTGTCCTGCAAACCACCTCACCCGTCTCTTTGGCGCAGGAGACTCAGGCTGTAACCGGAGAAAACACTTCACCCTGGAACCCTAACTCAGGTCCTGGCAAAAGATGCGAGAGGAAGACTTGCTCTCTTAATAAATCTCGGCCGCCCGCACATCTGGCCCCTAGACCTGCTCGGTAGAGGACTGGCTGGTGGATGCGCGGTCCAGGCCGTGGGCACTCGACCCACCTCTATTTTCCTTCCCGAGGCGCCCCTGGATTACCACTTTCGGTTTGCGCTTACATCCGGGATGTCGAATTTCCCAGGGAATCATAATTATTTTATCTATAATTTATTCTAACCCCAAGGTTCCAAGAAAATCTGTAATGAACGTTAATATCTACAGCCTCCTGGTCAATCTGCATCGGGCGAGAGAGCCGTCGGGTTCTTCGCAGTGGGTGACTTCAGGTCCCTGTGCCTTGTTTCCTATCACTCTGAAAGAATTTTCTCCCCAAAGGAAATCCAACTTGTTTGAAACAGGTTTCTCCTCTCTGACTTTCTGCACTGGAGAAAAATCTGGATCTGCTTTTCGAAAAGATTTTTTTTTTTTAAGAGGCATCCGGGCAGGCCTGAGGAGTCGGGCTGAAGGTGCGCCAGCCATTATTGCCTCAGACCTCCGGACGCTACGTACCCCAAGCACCTGAGCTACTAGTGGTATATCAGACAAGATTTCTGGGAGCAGCCCCAGGAGTCCCTCCGCCCGCTCCCAGTCCGCAAGCGCAGAGGATCCTGCGCTCTGTCCCCCAAGGTCTTGGCGTTTGCTGAGCTCTCTCCGCGCGCGTCGAGGAGAGGCCGCCTCTCGTGAGCAAAAGCTGGGAGTTGTTAGAGATTCCGCAGCCGCTCTGAGGGCGAGATCGGGTTTGTCCCACGACCTCGGCGCCAGGAAGCTGTAGAAAGAGACAGACCCCAATTTTCTCCCCTTGGAGTTGAAACAAAACCTGAAAGCCCGAGGTTGCCCGCACCGCCAGAGGTGGCGCCTAGGCGGCGGGGGCGACCAGAGCCGCGTGCCCGCGCGGTTCCCAGGCCTGGGTTCTGTTTCTTCCTATTTTAGTTAGTTACTTAGCCGGTTAGCTAATAGACAGCTCACAGGCAGCATTTATGCAAACGCCAAGCCTGGACCCACGCTGAGTCTCCGCGGCCGCCAGACCTATAGTTGCCCGGCTGGGCTCCCAGAGGAGTGAAGAAGGGAAATTCCTAGTAATTAAAGGGGAGGTTTTCCCGGGGCGCCCCTTGGTGAAGTGGCCTTGGCTTCCAGTGAGGAACAAAGGACTAAGGTGCCTGCGCGCAGCGCGCCCTCGGGGCCCGGCGCGACCAGCTTTCACGCCTCTCCCAGCTCCCACGCCTCTCCCAGCTCCACGGCGGCCGCGGGCTTTGTGAGCTGGGGCCGCGCGCCGCGCTGCACCTGCCCGGATTTAAGTACCTTGGCGAGGCAGCGCAGGCGGCTGTTCTAATCGCCGTCTCCAAGTACCTGCTCATGAATAAACACCAACCCCATTTATCAGGTACTTAGCGCTCATTGTGAAGGGGAAATTGGCCCTTTTCTGAAATTGTCTATCCACAACCCATCTGCGCAGTTCTGGTTGCAGAATTCCCCTCACCCTTGAGACACACACACACACACACACACACACACACACACACACACACACTCGCAACACGAGGCTCCTCCAAGCTAAGATAAACTCGCTTTTCTTCCGGTAAGTGCGCGATTGAGCCGCGACAATAGGCGGCGAGGAGGAGGCCGTTGGGTCAATAGCCTGCGTCTCTCCCATTGATAGGAAAAGTCAGTGCGCGGAATGCAGGGCCTTAGGAAAGCCCTGTCCGGCGTTCCAGCCACAGGGGTCACACTTGCATCAACATGCGGGCACGCTGCCCCTTGGGTACCCCAAACATTGAGCAAAATATTGGAAAGGTGGACCGAGGTGTCTGTGGTGCCTGCCAGCATTGGTCGGGTGGGCCCCAGCTGTACCCTGGGTTCCCCTACTTTCCCCCAGTTGGGCCCCACATCTGGGTCTGGCTCTTAAGTCTTGGGCATATGGGATAGAGAATTTAAGGATCCAGATACTTTGCAATCCCCGGGCTAGTAGGAGGAAAAGTGGCTCCTCTGGGAACCCGGATGGGCCGAACAGCAGCTTCCGGCAGAGGCCCTCAGGTTTCAGAGTTCTCCAAGTGGGGAGAAGGGCGGCCTGCTCAGCCCGCGCACCCGTGGCAGCACCACAGAGGGAATAAAAGCAGGGTAAACAATTTGAAGATCCCCACGAAGGCAAGAGAGTAAATTTACAAACTCATTTGCGTCCGGAATACTTGCTTCTTTTTCACTCATACATTCCTTCTAAAATGTGGGCTTTCTGTGTACATGGGCGCGCATTCCCAGGACTCGGTTCCCTGGGTGGAATTCACCCAGGAATACAATCGATTTTCTGAACCTGCGTAAGGCCACAGGCAGCTCTGAAAATGAAAGCGTTTGCTAAGTGGGGGAGATCTCACCGATCGAACGTTTAAAAATGGCTTTGTCTTCATTCAGCTCTCCCGATTTATTCTGTGTTTTACAAATAGAAGCTCAGAGCTTCTGTCGCCCAGTCCTTGCATGACTCATGGCGGTGGCCACACGGGTTTCAGGGATAACGGGATGTTTAGAAAATCGCTGCATATCGGAGTTTCCTAGCACGTTCCATTTATACTGAACGCAGGCGGCCGCTGAAAATCCAGCCTCGACTCTTGCTAATGACTGGGTAGGACCCTCGGGGTCCTGCGACGGTGCTGGAGGGTGTTCCCGGCTCCGATGTGGGGAGGCCTGCGCGGGGACTAGGTTCTCGAGAGGCGAGCGGGCGCGCCAGAGAACCCGAGACTGCTGCGGGGCCGGATGCGGGATCCCTGGGCTGCGGTTCTACGCAGAAACGCCAATGGCCATGCCTCCCCAGCTCCTCCCAGCCCCAGTCACTAGGCCGGCGCCTGGCCCGGAGATCCTCCCAGAGCCCTGGCGGTGCCATCATGCCGGAGAAGACAAGCTCGGCCCCGCTGGAATTCGCTCCAAACACAGATGCTCATTTTTGGAATATTCTAGAAAAATAACAAGATCTTGTTTGTCGTTATGATTCACGGGAGGTAACTGATGGGAGGGCCATTTACATGAGGGCAGACACTGTGGGGCGAAGGTGACTTCTGGACGTAGGCTTTAAAGTAGGAACGGCTCCAAATTCCCAATATCTCCGGCCTTACCGGTTGCAAATCGGACCCCTGCGGGAAAACCAGACACTTCTGTTTCGTGGCTTTCGGGCTGCCTCCAGCCCACGCAGGCTCGTTTAGTCCCCGTGGAGTCAGCCCCGAGCCTTCCTAGTCCTGGAACAAGGGCTCCAGGTCGCGGCCGCGGGAAGCCGCCAAGAGGGCGGGGAGTAGGGATTCCCTCCAGCTCCGCAGGGCATCTCACAAGCGCCTTCTTCTGCGCCATCTCCCCACCTCCAGGTGCAGGGGATGAGCTTCCCCAGGTGAAGCTTAATTTTATGTGGTGAAAATTCTGGAATTCGAATTCGTTGCTCTTGTGTGTTTGTGTTAAATGCCTTGATGGCGTAGGTGTGTGCGCGCCCTCACAAATTTATGGAATTTATGGGCGGTGAGCGCGGCCGGAAAAGGTTTGGGGGACAAGTAAGAGAGGGCGCCTGCACGCTCTCTCCAGGCCCGGGACTGGCCCCCAAGGCACGGCTGGAGCAGAGCGTGGTGGAAGTGGTAAAGGCTTCAACTCGACTCCCTCTCTCTTAGGAGACCTCATTTCACCCTTCTCAGCCACGCCCTTCGTTCACATTCTTGCGTCCCTTGGGGTCCCAAGCAGATCCCCCACAGAAGACCAAGGAGAAGTGGAATTGAATCAGGGCAGAGCAGGGCTCCCCCAGGGCCGGTTCCCTGACTGGCATGGTGCAGCCAGGCCCGAGGCCTGGGACAGCCGTTTCGGAAACCCTGGGGTCGAGGCCCTCCAGACTGGACTCAGGCCGCAGGAAAGAGCATAAGCCCAGCCCTCTCACATAGTGTGGCTTGTCCTCAAACCTCCCACCTCCCCAAATCTCCCCACTACAGCTCACCCTCACTAATCACCCCCCTTCATCTTGGTTCTTTTGAAGGGGTAGCCACGGGAGTGCCTCCGCCCATGACAGCAGTGTGCAGGAAGCTGACCTGGAGCTGGGAAGCCGGGAGAAGGCACGTGGGGTTCCACCTAGATAAACCCCAAAAAGACAGCTCCAGTGAGGGACTAGCAAACCTGAGACCAGGTAGGGAGCAGCGTGTCCGCAGGGGCAAGGATGGAGCACCAAGTGCCAGAGCCTGAGATTTGGGCTCTCACATCCCTCCTTGGGAGTACTTGTGGCCCCTGGATAGTCATCACGTGCAAGCCTCGGACCCCTTGGAGGGGTTAGGGAGGGATCTGTGGTCCCCCTCTCATGTCGGCTACTGAAACCCCTGGGTTCCTTGAAACAATCTAGCCTACACCAGGAGCGTCCATCTTAAAGCTGGTGGCTTTTGGTTCCCCAGGACCCTGCTTAACTCCCATGACGTCAGATCACCACTTAGAGCGTCTTGATGCCCAGGCTAGAAGGATCTCGGTTGCACCAGCTTTCCCCACTGCAGTTTCAGGTTTTGTCCCGACAGACTTTCAGCAAGCGGCTTAGCTCAGCCCTGGCGCTGCCTTCCAGGAAAGAGGGGCAGCAGCAGCCTCGGCTGAGCCGGGTGCCCTTGTGGGCTATCTGGTGGGGGCTCGCGGGTCCTTGCCTTCTCTGCCTGGGGTAGGTGGGAGGTAGGTTCTTGAACTTCCCGGGGCTTCTCCCTGGCACACTTTGGCTGCCACATCACGGATGGAAACGCTGAGGCCAATGGGCTCAGGTTCGCTAGCAGCAGGCAGCCGGCCCTGGTGTGCCCGCTGTGGCCTGGGTGCTCTGCATACCCCCGCGCGCGCTTGCTCTGTGTGGGGGGCTGGCAGATAGGGGTGTTCCTAGGGGCCACGCGGGGGGAAGGGGGTGGCGGGGCCGGTCTTGCGCTTCCCACGCTCCATCTGTTCAGTTCACTCTGGTGGTCTCTGTTCCAGTCTGGCCTAGGGATCCCTGGCTCCCCACGGCCAAGCCGAGAACTAGCGGGCGCAGGTTGCATTGTGCAGACTCCCGGGGTCAGGTCGCAGGGTCACGTGCACGCGTCGGGCCTCCTCCGGGCGCTCCTATTCCAGATCCGCCGACAGAGGGCGCCGGGGGCCCGAGAGGAGCATGTTCGGGCGCCTCTCCCGGGTCCCTGGCGCCACGCTGTGGGGCTTGGTGGTTCAGAGCCACACCTGACACCCTCACGTCCCAAACCGGGATAGTCGCACCGACAAAAATCACAGGAAGGAGCGCGCAGT
Organism: Homo sapiens; assembly: GCF_000001405.40. NCBI lineage: Eukaryota > Metazoa > Chordata > Mammalia > Primates > Hominidae > Homo > Homo sapiens. Next base: position 89,411,814 of record NC_000015.10, read on the forward strand.
TGACTGTGGGCGGGCGGGACGGCGGAGCCACTTACAGCGGGACCTGCGAGGGTGTGGGTACGGGACTCCCCAACGGACCCTCTAGTTTGTAACCGTGCGAACACTGGAGGGATTCATTATGTGCACCGTGGAGGCGCGGACATCCACCTGAGTGTGCAGAAGCAGGGGAGGGACACAAGAGATAGTCCCTGAGACTGGCTCCAACCAATTTCTGAGCTGGAAGGGTTTTCTAGAACGTTAGTCCAAACACCCTCTTTAATAGCAGGAAACTGAGGCCCTGAGAGGGCAACGACTTATCCAAGGTCCTGCAGCACTTAAAAACAGGGCTGACTCAACTAGCGCTGGGGAAGGGCGGCCCCTCCGCTGCCCTCTAAGCCTCAGTTTCCTCCGTTGTGAAACATTGCAGTTGTACTAGGTCGTGGTTCTGGAGGTATGCCTGAAGGGGTGTGCAGGAGTCTGCATGGGTATGCACATATGTGTTGGTGCACGTGTTGGTGCATGTGTGTGTTGGAGGCAGCCTATGGCCGTCTGAGAAGGGCTATGTCTCCATGCGTGGGTGCCTGTAAAGAGCTCCGTGGGTGCCTGTGTGTATTTGTGTGTATTTGCCCTTGAAGGAGTAGATGTGTATTTGCCCTTGAAGAAGCATATTGTGTACAGATGTATTTGTGCCTATCTAAGTGTGTGTTTGTGAAGGGATGTGTTGTGAGGAGTTGTGTGAAGAGTAAAGGGATATTTGTGTCTGTGAATTGTGTACATGTGCTTAAAGGGGTAATTGTGGATTGTAAATAATTGTACGCTGGAAAAGGGCCTGGCACTCCCCATCCACTGGAACCCCACCGCCTGCCTTTACTGCTCCTTCACGTGTGCCCTGGAGCCCATTCTCATTCTGGACCCCACAGAAAGGGGCAAGGGGATGAGAGGGCTGAGGGACACAGGCTCTGGGGTGTGGCTCTGCCCCAATGCCCAGCAGGCTCTAACAGGCTGTGATTAGGCAAAGCTTCTCCTGGGCTGCAGAGGGAGAGAGAGAGAGAGAGAGAGAGAGAGAGAGAGAGAGAGAGAGAGAGAGAACGAGAGAAGAAGGAGGATTACGGCAAATTCATTTCTATTTTCCAGCCCAGTAAGCCTGCAGTGTGTCCCTGGTGTTAGCATGAGAATGGGCTAGGGCTCTGTGAACACCCCCCGCCCCCGACCTACTGACCCCTCTTCCCCCCTGACATGAATAGTGGGACTCACAGCCTCCCCAGCCTCTCCAACTAGTGCCTGCAAAGCCACGGCTCCTAATCAGGGTAATTTAATATATTTTAAGCCCCCGGCGGCTTTATTTTCCCTCCTTTTCGAGTTTGTTTTAGGCATTCACAGCTCTCACCCCGTCATTAGACGGCCTTATTTGACGGATGGAAGGAGCTGCTATGAGACCACAGCCCTTTGTGTCCCCCACATAAGCTGGGCTTCCCCGTAATTAGAATGGTATTCCCAGCCATTGAGGCTTTTCATGAGGCAGAACAAAAACTCCCCGAGATGAATATCCCCCAACTCCCAGCCCCCTGGCCAGGAAAGGGGCTGTGAGTTAAAGGGACTCCTTGGGGAAGGCAGTCCAGAGCAAGGACAGCCAGGGTCCTACCAGGGTGAGGAATTTAGGGGCCATGGGAAGTGGGCACCAGACAAAGGCTGGTGGCTGGTCAAAGTTGCTGGTAAACACCAGTCACCTATACATACTCCACCCAGCACTCAGCCAGCGTCAGGATGTACTGGGCTCATCAGAGGACCTTCATATTCTATGGGGTCTTGGGGTATGGAACCAGGCTGGAATGTGCATGTAAAACACAAACACACACGGTCACACTAGTCACTCACATGCAGGCTTGAGATTACATTGTAAACACACATATATACACATACATGTACACATGCATGCTCAGCCACAAGATTACAACGTCACTAAACTAGGTTAGGAAATACTTGTAAATATACACACATCACACACATGTTACCCAGACAGAACCAGACTGCAGTTTGTCTTTATATCTGTGCACACACACACACACACACACACACACACGGCCAGCCACTCAGATTGCTTGTGAACACACACACACTCCTGCATACTCATATACATACATACACCCTTAGGGTCATCCAGACCCCAGTTTTTCTGGGGGCATTCACCAGCCTGTGCACACTGTGGCGCACCACCCCTCCTCCCCAGGATATAGACTTGCTTCTGGCCGCATTCCTAGGTCCATGCTCAGCCTATGTGCAAGTAGTTTGACATGCACACACATGCATGGATGCATGCCCATCCTCTGGCTCACACTGACATGTGAAAACTCAGGAAAATACTATAGAACCAACATGACATTACAGTGTTTCCATATTTTCTGGCCAGCCTCTCCCAGACACTCATTACCAGACATGCAAGGGAGTTTTGAGGATAAGCCCCCACTCAGCTACACACTGTGCTATGAACTCAGCCCCCAAGTGGGCTGGGTTCTCTGGGGCTCAGTTGGGTCTCCTGTGTCCTTTGGGGAGAAGAGATCTCCCTTTTCAAGATTGGACCATGCTCCAAGGACAGAAGCCAGGTGTCTGGCTGTCTGGTACAATCAGTAGCTTTTTTCAGGATTCAGGAAAGGCTCAGAGGGTGATAACTAGGTCTGGGAGTCTGCAGACAGGAGAACTCACCTGCTAACTGACGCACAGGGATGCAGTCCCATGGAGAAATAGCTAGTGCCTCATCTCTAGGAGGATTCCAATAGGGGCAGCATGATAGCCAAGCAGAGATGTTGTGGGATAATTCATTTATTTAGTTCAGCTCCTACTCTCTATCAGACCCTGTGCCCAGTGCTTGGAATACAGTGGTGAGTAACATACAAGCCTGTCTTCAAAGGATCTTAGAGTCTTAAATGGGAAAGCTAGACACACACAGTTAATAGATAGGCCTGGGCCAGGGGACAGAGATAAGGCTGGGGCAGAGAGGAAAGTGATGTAATGGGTCTCTAGTTTCCACAATGGAATGTTGGTATCAGGGACTGAAGTGGATCGCTTAACATCCTGTGCCCAAGGCACAGTTGTGGCACCTTGGAAGTTTTTTTTTTTGTTGTTGTTGTTGTTTTTTTTGAGACAGTCTCGCTCTATCGCCCAGGATGGAGTTCAGTGGCATGATCTCGGCTCACTGCAACCTCTGCCTCCCAGGCTCAAACAATTCTTGTGCCTCAGCCTCCCAAGTACCTGGGATTACAGGTGTGTGCCACCACACCTGGCTAATTTTTGTATTTTTTAGTAGAGATGGGGTTTTGCCATGTTGGCCAGGCTGGTCTTGAACTCCTGGTCTCAAGTGATCTGCCTGCTTCAGCATCTCAAACTGCTGGGATTATAGGCGTGAGCCACCGCATCTGGCCCTGCATCTTGCAAGTCTTTGAGCTGGATAAGTGATGCATTAGCTGGCCTCTAAGGGCTCTCTCCATTCTAAAATTCTTGTACTCCTGGTCTAGATCCATGGCTTTCTCACCGTGGCCCCCTTCCCAAGGTGGGTGGTCTCACCCTAACTCACTCTGCACAGTGTACCTTTACCATGGCACTTATCACCTCCACCAAAGTTGCGCCCAGGCTCTTAGTGAGGGGAGTGGCTGGACCCATTCAGGGTCTCTGGGAACAAAGGAGAGGCTCATAAAGAGTGTGATTAATTCAGTTTGCTGGGGCGGGGTGGGAAGAGTGTCCAAAAGAGGTAGGTTAGGCTTCTTCATGCTCCTGACTTCTTAGGAGTGAAGAACAGTCCACTGAGTCTTATGGAGCCTCATTCTCTTCTATTCTGGAAGGAAGTACAGCTTTGAAGTGATGGGGTGGGGACCTCAGACTGGTAGTTGTTTGCATACTTTTTTTTTAACCTTACATCTTGTTCAATACGTGGGGCAACCAATATGTTGGGCAACCAGGAGATATAATATTACTCTTATATCTGCTGGGGGCCCAAGCAAATGCATACCCAGAAAATGACCAGAAAACCTCAACATCTCTCTCTAGGTAAAACGTGTGTCTGTTTCTCTTCGTAGGACAAATTTCACAGTGTGAATTAGAGAACAAGGGATGCTTTGAAGCCACTTGTGATGTCTTTTATATATATATATATATATATATATGTATATATTTTAATTTTACCATGGCGTTCCATGGTGTAATGTAATGGTTAGGAGCCAGGGATCCGGAGACATCCCGGTTCAAAGCCTGTTCCCCTCTTTGAGAGAGCTTGGCCACATCTTTTTGGGCCTGGGTGTCTTCAACTGCAAAGTGGGAATAATAATAATACCACCCTGCTAGGGTTGTTGTGAGGATTAAATGAGCTGATACATGTAAAAGAGCCCAACAATGCCTTCCATGCAGTAAGTACTCAGCGTTCGCTGTGGTGATTAATATTAAAGTGAGTGCTCAGTAAATATTTGTTGGGTAAATGTGTGCATTTTTCATTTTGTTTGCATTCAGGATAAAGTTGTGGGAAAATAAGATCTTCCTGATAGCCTCTGCCCGGTAACTGGCAGGAGGCGGAGATGGGGTGGAAGGTGGGCTGAGAGTCTCCAGTAGTTAAAAAAAATAAGCGTTCGGAGAGGATGGGGCCTCAGGTCGTTACTGCGGTCTCCAGCAGGGGGAGCCCAGGTAGTCATCACTTGCCGGCTCCAGACCTCAAGGAGGGAGGGAATTACCCTTGACCGAGCGCCTACTGTGTGCAGTGCCCCCGTCAGGCGCTGGGGGGCGCCGTGAAGTCAGGATGACTGGGAAGTGGGGGCTTGGAGAGGGCGCAGTGAGGTGCTTTTGAACCAACGCAGACCTACAGGGCCGACTTCCTGAGGGCGAATGTCGCTTTGCTGCAGCGGGGCACGGGTTTGGTTCCCGGCGGGGCCTGGCCTGGGAAGCGCGGGGCTGAGGGCGATGCCCGGCCGCTATCCCGAGTCGGTGCGTGCCTATGCTGCAGGAGGGCCACCAGGAGCTCTGCTTCTCCGCTGCACCCGGCTCGGAGCAGGCACTCAGTACAACTCACTTAGCGAAGTAAAGCTGCCTGGCGGGGACACTCCGGGCTGCAGGTGTGCGTACAAGGGGCCTCCTCATGGCAGTTTTGGGGTGGAAACAGTACCATCCCCCCGCACCCCACCCTTCCCCCATCCCTGCGGCTAGACCGGGAAGAGGTAAAGCCCGGAGACTCCACCTTGGCATGGGGCAGGGGTGCCACATGGGATCTGGCCTTGAACGGGACATTCCTCATTCTGCTTCCGGCAGCGCCAGGTTTTCTCGTCCACTACTCTGCGGTGGCGGGTCGGCAGCTGGAGGGACAGCTAATCTGGGGGCCCTGGTATGTGTTTATGTATATATGCATGCATCTATGTATGTATGGAGTAGTTTTCATAGATATTTTCAAATATCAGAGCTCCCGACAGTTCATCATAGCAGCTAATTGGAAAAAGGAGTTGCACCTCGGCTCAAAAGATGCCAGAATCAGAAAGATATTGAGGAGCAAATGATTGGAGACGGTTTTACCTTCGCCCCAGAGCAGGCGGGTTTGGCCCTGTAGGTAAGAGCGAGATCTGAAGAGGGTGGGGCCGGGGGCACATGCGCTCGGTTCCCTGCTGGCCCAAGTGGTCCCGGAACAGTGGCTGAACCAGCGGATCTAGTGAGGGAGCTGGCAGTCCCGCCGCCCCTGCCCACTCCTGGCCCGCGGCGTTTGGCCTGGCAGGCTCAGGAGCTTGGCTTCTGCCCTCCCAGACACTCTGCTCCTAGAGAAGTTGGGTTGGAGTCGTCGAGCTCCACATTTCCAACTGTGTGAACTCGGCCAAATCTTTTAACCTCTTGAACCCTTGGGAGCCAAAATACCAGCCCCTCAGTGGAGTGCGAGCAAGCGTCTTCAGGGAGACTGTAAACCTCTGTGGACGCCTGTCAAGACCGAGTGTTGAATGCCTTGCTGGATTTTTGTGTCGTTTAATCCTCATCTGAGGAGTCTTTCTCCCAGTTTTACGGATGGGGTAGTGGAAGTCTTGATGAAAGGGAGCAGATGCCCTTGTTCCTGGGGCAGCCAGCTAGAAGCCTCCTGTTGTTTCTCAGGCCCCTTTTAAAGTTCCTAAAATGGAGTGCTGGGACCCCAGGAGGGAGGAGAGGCACACAGGATAATTCTGGCTGAGAGCAGAGGTCTCCTTCACTTGGGGTCTTGATCTGAGGAACTGAAGTGGGAACCTGGTGAAGACAGGTCACCTTCAGGCCCTCACTTTTTGGGTGGCAGTATATTTGCCCAGTCCCCATCGGAGGTTGCGGGGGTCTAGAAAGATACAGGATATGGGCTGGTTGTGGGAGGGGAAGTCTCCCTTAATTCTATGAAGTCTCCTCAGGTATCCCTTTTCCAGGAAGGGCATTCATATTTTATCAACAGAGGGCCAATTATGGGGCATTGACCAGAGGTTTACTTTTGTTTCAGTGACTCCCAACAGCAGCTCCTTGGGAGGAGCTACTTCCCCCCATTTCACAGGGGCAGAACCTAAGGCCAGGAGCAGTGAAGTGAAAAGTGACTTACCCCAGGTCACATAATGAGGGAGCAAAAAGAGAAGGGGATGGGATTTGATTCTAGGTCTGGTCTGGCCTTGCCTTCACACCAAAAACCTAGTCCTGGCATCCCCCCCCCGCCCGACTTCTGCATCTGACTTATGATATCCCTTAGAGCGGGGTGGTTCTGAAGTTGGAGCCTGGCCCATTTAAGGGACATTTCCAGGACAAAGCTTGCCTAAGGATCAAGCCCCCACCTAGTGCAGGGAGGCTAGGTGGGCACAGGGTGCCCATGTGTACCTGGGCAATGGCAGACATGGTGGGTTTAGCACTGTGGAGCAGATGGCCATGACAGGGTGAGCTCCCACTGTGGTCTGGGGTATCCCTAAGGTCAAGGTCAGAGTCTTTGCTGCTCCCTTTCCCCTCTCATAGGGAAGCTGAGAGAAAGCTCCTCTTTGGGGTTCTGAAACCCAAAGGTCATTTCTGAGTGAGAAAGCTGAGACCCTTCCCATCTTCCCTGACCCTCCTGACAGCACCTTTAGGAGCCAGAATTGGCACAGCGAGGCTTCCCCAGGTGCAGACGCCAAGTGGCATCCCCCAACTCCTGGAAGAGGAATCCTGATGAGCTCCAGATTAAAAAATCAATCCAGTTCAAAAGTGATCAGGGGAAACTAGATTCAGTTAGAGAGGACAGAGCTACGAGGGCCAGGAGTAGAGGGCAGGCCTCTCACTACCCCATCCTAGAGAAACTCTGCCATTGGAGGGAGAAAATCTGCACTGGGTCTGGAATGATTTAACTGTCCAGCTCTCAGAGAAGCAACTTAGTTCTTCGGAGCTTTGTTAGCAGAGACACAACAGAGCAGTGCAGACTACCAGGAGCTGCGCAGAAACGCCCCTTCCCCCAACCTACTGCACATCTGGCATCTTTTAAAATTTTCCAAAGTCGGGGAAATAAACTCCGGTGTCTGTCACAGACGCTATTTTCAGAGGGTTTGCTTTGGGTCTCCCCTTCCACTGGTGACCCCTAAAATCCATAAGGGTCTGGCTTGGCGGTGGCGGCATCGTTATCTCCATTATGAAGGGTAGCAAACACAAGTTTTCAGAGAAAGGGCATTTGCCTTTTTCTTCTAGCCACCAGCCTCTGAGACAGCGCTGGACCCCAAGACTCTGCAGGATTCGCCTCAGTGCAGAGGCTCTGGATTCTCTGGCTCTGAGGCGAGATGGGAGCTGTCCTCCCAGTGGTGCTGAAACTCGGGCTGCCTCCGTTGGGGTCACCGACAGAGGCTCACTTGTTCAGGCACTTCCTGGGTCAGCCTTTCCGCCTCTGAGACGGGCTCTCCCATCTCAGATGGGAGATTCTGCCTGGAAGGGAAGTAGTCCACGCCATCATCATTCCCCGAAACCTTAATAGCCACCTAACTGGATTCACCACTTCTCGTCTTGCCTCCTCAATTCATTCTCCGCTCAGTACCCAGAGTGGTCTTTTCAAGAAGCAAATCTGATCCTATGTAAAGTACTCATATGGTTTTCCATATCATTCAGAATAAAACTTAAACGTTCTTGCTAGAGCTAAGATACCCCTCCCCCTCAATGATCTAGCCCCTGTCTGCTTCTTCCACATTAATCGCCTATCAGGATGGTGGTGATGGGTTAGAACTGGCCTAATTCTGATATATTTTGAAGATAGAACTGCTTACATTTGCTGAGACATTAGAGGGGTGTGTAGGAGAGAAATAGTGGAGTCAAGGATGACCCTGGGGGTTTGAGGTTGAGCACCTGGAAGGATGGAGTTTCTGTTTCCTGAACTGGGAAAGACTGAAGGAGGAGCAGAGTTTTGGGGATGGGGAGCTGAGGCTGTTTCTGAACAAGTTAAGTTTGAGAGATCTACTAGATAGCCAAGGGAGATAGTCTACTAGGCAACTGGACATATAAACTTGGCATTCAGAGGAGAGGTCCTGGCTGGAGATATTAACCGGGGAGAGGTCAGCTTATGGGTCTTATCTAAAACCATGCAGATGAGATCACTAGAGAGTAAAAGTACAAAGAAGAAAAGTGTTCCAGGGGCTGAACACTGGAGTACTTTGATTTTAGAGGAAGAAATTGAAGAAAATCAGTAAAGGAAACTGAGACGGAGGGTCTTTGAAGAGGAAGAGAACAAAAAAAGTGATGTACTTGAGGCTGGGGGTTGGGGGCAGTGGAGGTGTCTTAAGAACAAAGGAGAGGTCAAAAGTATCCAATATGCTGACAGGCCAAGAAAGATGAGGATTGACAATTGACCTTTCGATATGGCCTCACAGAGGTCCTTTCTGAGAAGTGGAAGTAGGGAGGGAATATTAGAGGGAGAACCAATAGAGAGTAGGAGGAAATGGTACCCAGGCAGGCTGAGGAAGAGAAAAATTATCTGGGAGCTAGTGGGGAGGCCACAGGGAAGGAAACCCAAGAGGTGGTGAAGCACTAAACAGTTTCAGCCAGGTAAGTGACTTGTTGACAGACCAGGTCCTCATTCTTCCACATGCTTCAAAAGTTCAGTTTAGAACCAATCTGGGCCATAGTAAGACACTCAGGGTACAAATGTTTAGGAGAGTTTTTCTTTTCTATTTCATTTCAGCTCAAATCCCTCCTGGCGAAGTGGTTTGACATTTACCTTTCTGGGATCAGAACTTCGTAGCCTCTTGTCTTGACCAGGATGACATGTGATCTGCATGGGGCACCAGGGCACATGAGCTAGTTCAGTGAAGGGGTCCCATCAGAGCAGGCTTGGGCTGCGTATGTGCAGGCCACATGCCCAGACATGAGGCCCTCCAGGGCCTCCTCCCTTGCCTGGCTTGGTCTTGGGAACACCCTAGAAACCTCTTCTCACCTTATTTTTCAAGTCAAGAAAGATAATACCCCCAAACTCAGTCTGGCTCTGCTTGACTGGTCAGTTATGCAGATGGTAGCCCGCTTTCCTCTCAGAAACCCTGGCTCAGTGAGAGTCCCATGCTCCCCGACAGCCAGTGAGGACCTCTGTGGTCCTCGCACCACCCTGAGAGGCAGAGGCAGCCTTTCTCGCTTCGTGCCCACCTTCGGAACAATGGTCGCCAGTTCGCCATCTAGTGGGGGAGCACGATGCCCCCAATCTCATGCACCAAGGGCAGAGACAAGGACGAATCTTGCACTCTCAGGAGTCCTGGGGCCACAGAAGGGAGGCAGGTCAAGCACAGGAGATGGATTATCATGGGTTCCTTCTCTGTCTTGGTGGCCCCTCAGAGGCTGCACCGCACCCACTACCGATGTCATGGGGGAACTTCAGGGCTGGGCCATGTGCAACTCCCAGGCCCGGTGGCCTTGTGGGGAGTGGGCTGAGGGGGTTGGGAGAGTTGTTGGGGAGGTTGGGGTGTCCTGGGACTGCCAAGGGAGCTGCTGAGAGAGTGAGGCCTCTGAGCGACCCCTGCTGATCCATCCCCTGCACAAGCCACACCTCTCTGTGCAATACACTTAGGACTGCCCATGGTCCCATAAAACATTTATACGTGGGCTACAGACTAGCAACAAAAGTGTGATGTGAGCACTGATGGGGAACTCTGCTGCAGTGTGCCTTGGGCAAGTTACTGCCTATGTCTGGGTCCCAGTTTCCTCATTTGTCAAATGGAGGTACAAGAACAAATTGGAATCCAAGATCCTTTCCTGTCTCAAAAGCCCTGATTAGCCCCAGTTTGCCTCCTCTGGTACAAGTAAGTCTGGCACATCTACCGCTCAGGTATTTCTTTAGCTCTGAACAGAAGAATGCCTCCTCCTTCCCCAGCCCTGGTCTGAATGCTCACCCTTTTCTGTCCATCCTGGCCACCTCTTTCTCCCTGTCCCTGGAAAGGCTCTACAGAGGAAGTGGTGTTCTAACTAAATGGAGAAGAGATAAAATGGCATTCCCAGCATAGGCAAGGGTATATAGTCATGGAAGCCTGTGTGATTCAAAACATGCCCAGTGGCTTGGTATGGCTGGAATGAAGGGTGAGTGGGAAAGGAGTGGGGGCTTGACCCTGCAGAGCCTTATAATTCATGCTTATAAACTTGGAGCTCATGCTGAAAGTGATGGGGGAGCCATGAAGCAGTTCAATGTGGTCAGAAGTTGCAATTTAGACATATCACTCTGGGATGGTATAGAGAAGGACCTGAAGGTTTGTGGCAAAGCCTGAGGATCATCTCCCTTTCCCTTGGCTGCCCAAGATGAGGACTGCATTTCCAAACTCTCTTGGATCTGGGTGTGGACATGTGATTAAGTCCTGGTCAATTGAATATAAGCAGAAATATCTTGTGTACCTTCCAGGGGGTGTTCCTGGAGGGAGGGGAATCACCCATTATCTTTCTTCTTTCTGGATGGAATGTGACTCAGTGGTGAGCACCTGGACCTCCTGATCTAGCCTGATCAGGTTGATGTAGGTGTGTTCAGTGGGCAAGGCCAGCACAAGTGCCTACCGTGTTTGGTCCACAGCTGTAACATGCTACCCAGTGTATTCTCCCACAGGTGTGCAAGCCTATTGCCTGTGTATTCTAAAACTGGCAGCAATTGGGCCAGCTGTACTACTTTCTTTTCCTCTCATTCCTGTTAGCTGTCTTCTGGAGGAGTTCTTTCTGGGGGGGCATCTCCACGTTTGGACAGCAGGGATTGCTTATATCCACTTAGTAAAAATAATAACAGCTAATATTCACTAAACATTACTGTGGGCAGATACTATGCTCAGAACTTCACATGGATGATGACATTTATTATCTCTCTATCTTTTTTTGAGACAGGGTCCTTGCTCTGTCACCCAGGCTGGAGTATTGTGGTGTGGTCATGGTTCATTGCAGGCTCAGGTGATTCTCCCACCTCAGCCTCCTGAGTAGCTCAGACTACGAGCACGTACCACCATGCCCAGCTAATATATTTATATTTATATATATTATATTACATATATACAAAATATATATTATGTATATTACATATATAAAAATATATATTATGTATATTACATATATATGTAATATATATTAGAGACGGGGTCTTACCATGTTGCCCAGGCTGGTCTGGAACTCCTGGGCTCAAGCGATCCACCTGTCTTGGCCTCCCAAAGTACTGGGATTACAGGCATGAACCACCACATTTGGCCTCATTTATTATCTCTTAACTGCCATGCCATCTTGCTTCTAAAGCCACACCAGGGTGAATACAACAGGAAGGTTCTGGTGGAGATGGGATGTCATTATTGAACAGAACTGATGAGGCTGTTCCTGCCCCTGACCCACCCTCAGCCCACTTTAATGACCCTCCCTGTTCCAGATGAGGAACCAGGCTCAGACTTGTGAAGTAAGTAGCCCAAGGTCATACAGCTGGAAAGTAGTGGGTATGCAAGCAATTCCAGGTCTTTATCATGCTGCAGAAGAAGGAGGAGACCCTGTGAGCTTCATCTCCAGCAGAGGGACTACCATAGTGACTCTGGAGCCAGATGCTCTGGGTTTAAATCCCAGCTCTGCCAATGACTGACTGAGTCTCTCTGTGCCTCAGTTTTCTCATCAGAAAACAAAACAAAAAAAGGACAATCATAGTGCATCCCTCCTAGAATTACTGTGATGATTAAATGAGATAATACAGAAAAAGTGCTTAGCATAACACTAGTATTGTTATTACTTTATTATTATTACCAGTGTCTGAGTCCCTCCCTGGCCATGCCAGAGAGAACAAGCAGGTAGAGAGGAAAAACAGAGCTGAGAATTTTCTGTCCCATCACCTGTGCCAGAAGAGAGAGGACAGAGGACAGAGGAGGGGCCGCGTGACTGTCTGGGCTAGCGAGCAATTTGCTGGAGGAGCTCATTTGGTGACTCTGACGGAGTTAATTAAAGATGGCCACCAGGGGTCATTGCCATGGTGACAATTAGGCTGGGAAGGCGCCTCATTAAGGTGCGGTTTTAACAAGGCCAGTCGTTTTTAACCTGACATCCACGTGAAAGAGGGATTTTTCAAGTTGCTTCCCTTTCTTCCTTTGTTGTATTTCAGATCCATTTCTAGACACTTCCTGTTGAACAAGACAGAGGAGAATTCCTGGGTTGAGTCCCCCTGAAAAATCAACAGGGCAACAGGTTTCTTCTCTGTGGTACTACTCTGGCATCTGAAAGGAGGCCTGGTTGGCAGAGGCTTGGAGAGGGAGGGGAGGGTTGAGGTCATGAGGTCAGAGGAGGAGGTGAGGAAAGGACTCATGTTGAATTTTATTCAACATGGAACTGGAGACCTTTTCTGGTCGGTGGCAGGGACAGTGTGGATGGCAGTGGGGTCGGGGGTAGTGTCAGGCCTGTTTCTCCCAAGTTGAAGGGAGGAGGAAGTCAGGAGGCTCAAGCCCTGTCTTAATTCAGAGCACTTTGAAAAGTATCTATTTTTTTCTTATTTCCATAATAATACACTTATTGAAAAAAATTAAAAATTTCACAAAAGCATAAAAAGAGAATATCCCCTGCAGTGCACCCCTAAGATGGAATGACTACACATTTCCTGTGTGACAAGAAGCTGAGCACGGGCAACCAGGAGCTGGGTTTGGGGCAGGGGGAAGGGGGTAGGGGATGGGACACATGTACTTTTTCATTTATATTCTTGTCTACTGTTTGAATCTTTATCAGGAGAGTGTAAAATAAAACCAAGTTAAAACAGCATATACTACAACATTTTTCTCTTTTTTTTCTTTTCTGTTTTTTTTTTTTTTTTTTTTTTTTTTTTGAGACAGAGTCTCGCTCTGTTGCCCAGACTGGAGTGCAGTGATGTGATCTCGGCTCACTGCAACCTCTGCCTCCCAGGTTCAAGTGATCCTCCTATCTCAGCCTCCCAAGTAGCTGGGACTACAGGCACACACCACCGCCCTCAGATAATTTTTGTATTTTTAGTGGAGATGACGTTTTGCTATATTGTCCAGGCTTGTCTCCAACTCCTGGCCTCAAGCAATCCACCTGCTTTGGCCTCCTAAAGTGCTGGCAGTACAGGTGTGAGCCACTGCAGCAGGTCCTGACTTTTTTTTGTTGTTGTTTTTGTTTTTAAAGCACATTGTAAAATATTCAAACTAAACAAAGGGTAGACAAGAAAGGTAAGTTTCTTAGGTGGGTCCCCCAGTCCCTTGGGGTGGGTTCCCCACCTCAGATGCAGTCATTAATATTAGTTTATTTTGTGTCTGTCCAGAGATTTTCCACGTGTCCAAGCACACTGTGCAACAAAGTTAGCACACTGTTCACCCTGTTGTGCATCTTGTCCCCGGCTTTTGTTTTTAAGTTGGTCTCAAACTCCTGGGCTCAAGGGATCTTTTTGCCTCAGCCTCCCGAGTAGCTGGGACTATGTGTGCATGCCACTACATCTGGCTAATTAAAAAAAAAATCTTTTAAGGAGGTAGTGGGGTGAGGTCTTGCTATGTTGCCCAGGCTGGTCTTGAACTCCTGGCCTCAAGCAGTCCTCCTACCTCAGCCTCTGGAGTAGCTGGGATTACAGATGCAAGCCACTGTGGCTGGCTTGCATCTTCCTTTTTTAAACTTCACATTCTATTTTAGGGTTGGTCCCATATCAGGATGTACACAGCTGTCTCATTCTTTTTTAACACATGGCAGGCTGCTGCCGCTGGGAGTCTTTGGATATGAACAAGAGGTGGTCTGGGCTTTTAAGGGGCTCACAGGGATGTACATCCTTTCATGCTCAGCATTTGGCACAGTGGTCAGCACACAGAAGCACTTGGTAAATGTTTATGGCTGAATGAGTAAGTAGCAAATAAAGAGGGAGGAGTTGGAGAGGTAAATAGAGGCTAGACCGTGGTTGTTCTTTGTTTGTTTGTTTATTTATTTGTTTTTTGAGACAGAGTCTTGCTCTATCACCCAGGCTGGAGTGTAGTGGGATGATCTCGGCTCACTGCAACCTCTGCCTCCCAGGTTCAAGCAATTCTCTTGCCTCAGGCTCCCAAGTAGTTGGGATTACAGGCATGCACCACCATGCCCGGCTAATTTTTTGTATTTTTAGTAGAGATGGGGTTTCACCATGTTGGCCAGGCTGGTATCGAACCCGTGACCTCAAGTGATCCGGCTGCTTTGGCCTCCCAAAATGTTAGGATTACAGGCATGAGCCACCGTGCCTGGCCTCATGAATGGTTTTGATGGCCATGCTGAAGGTTTGCATTTCCTCTGGTCAGGGATGAGGTCCCCTGAAGGCCCTCACATGGAGGCCAGCACAGTCAGACCTGCTGTCATGGAAAGGTCCTCTGGGAGCTCAGGTAGAATCAGGGTGACCACATAGATGACAACAAATCAAGTGTAGGAGGCTGTACACTGTCCTCATATGCAGTGTCTTCTCCTTTACTGGCCCTCCTGGCAGGAGGAGTATGCGCCCTATCTCTGGTGAAGGCAGGTATGGCCGTGTGACTTGTTTTGGCCAATCAAATGTGGGGAAGAGATATGTGACATTTTTCAGCAGAAGCCTTAATGGACAGTAAGTTTGGGGTTTGCTGTGCTCTCCTTCTGCTTCCAGGAATGGTGAGAGTACGGGTCAACATGGAACTCCCTGCAGCCTGCGTCCCGGAGTGACTTGGATGAGCAGAGGCTTCTTGCCCATCTTCAATGGGCATGTAAATAGGAGTGGGAATGAAACATAGTTGCTTCAAGTCATTGAGATTTGGGGGGTTGCTGTCACCATAATACAGCCTACCCTGACTGATACACAGGGAGCTGGACTGGGTAGTTCCCGCATGTCTTCCAGATGTGCGCAACAGGCCGGGATTCTGCCAGGCTGGATTTTCTGTGGCTCGGGTCCACTCTTGGTTTACACAGTGGATACTGAGCCTGAAGCTCTTATGGAGACCTAGATTCATAGCCTTTCTGCCCCACCCACTTTGAGCCCCATGAACATTTCTCAGAGGTGGAGAGAAGCCTATAGCAGGAAGAAAACTGCAGCTGCTACTGTCTCCTCTGAGGTCTGGCCTTTAAAGGTGGCCGTTAAAGGGTCAGAAACATGAATGGCCATGTTGGCATCACTGTAAGAGGAAGCTGTATCCATGCTCACCAAGATCCCTTTTTCTGAGGGAAACCGAGGTAGTAGTGCCATTTAACCCAAACCATTCATGCCATTGTACCTAACAGTTGGTTGCCACTGTTTTCCTCATAAGAACATTTACCTCACAGGGCTGGAGATGCAGAGGCAGGGTATCCTCGGATGCCATAGCATCAGGGCTCGGTGACATCACCAAAGATCCAGGTCCCCCACCTCTGTTCTCCACATTGGCTTTATTCTCAGGAACATTTCCCTCATGAACACAAGATGGCTGCCAGTAGCCATCAGGCCCGTGTGGTTGCCTCCTTGTTCATGCCAAAGAGTGAAGATGCCAAAAATTGCTCCACCCAATCCACGAACCCATAGTCATCCCCGGGGGATTTCCATCTGCCGTCTGGCTCAGGCCAGCCATTCTCGATCCCATTAGGCTCAGGGTTCCCTTCTCATAACAAATATTACTATCCTGATGAAATCTGTAGAAGTAGGACCTACTTACACATGTAATTGCAAAAATAGCAATGCAATGCCCTAACTCTAAAAGAAAAACAAAAGGAAATGTATAATTAATAAAATATATTTCAAGATACATGCTGAGGCAAAAGTATTCTAGAAAACATAATGAAACAATCAGATGCTTTCACCTGCGCCTAAAAGCTCCATGAATGCGGTAGCAACAGATATGGGCAAATATAGGTGGGTTGTTTTGGTGACCAAAGCGCCACTGGTAACATTGCTACCAGTGACATGATTGTGTTGAGGTGGTAACTCTTGGGAAGATACCAGTGAAACAAAGCATAGGCCTCCTCAATGTGCACAGTGGCGGTTTGCTGCAGTATGCTTTCAATATATATGAAAGTCTTGCAAAAAAACCTTTCTATTAATATGTCACATGAGATTAGATTCTAGGCTCAGATTTTTCACCTACATTTCTGTCCAGTGGAACATTTGAAAGTCACGTGGGGCTCAGGCCAAAGTTTTGCTATGTGCAACTGTCAGGAATTCTAACCTCGATTCCTGCTCACCAAATGCCCACAGTGCCCCCATCATTACCAATTATGTTCCACAAAAATTTAAACACCCTGTGGGATGCAGCTGCTCCTCTCAAAAACCTGTGGTCTTGTCCAATCATGAATCCTTTGCTGGGCCTGCAATAGGGTGGCTGCCTGGGATTCTATTAGGAAGGAGAAAGAGGGAGTGGAGGTAGGGAGGTTGCCAAGTGTCCTCCCCAGGCCTCAAGCTCACCTGTTACTCATAGGATTCATGGTTCAGTCTAGAGTCCCTCTGTGGGACTGAAACATCTTAGAAGACTCACAGAAGGGCTCTCAGGAGGACGTTTGCTTAGGGGGTGTATGTGTGTGTGTATATATGTGCGTGTGTATGTGTGTGTGTTTTCCATTGAGCTGACTGGCATAGGGAATATTCATGCCTCTCAGTCAGAAAGAAAGAATAGACAGAGATGGTTCAGTTCTGGTTCTGTGCCTACCAGGAGAGAATAAGCTTCCTCCTCTCAACTTTTCCCAGGACACTCACCCTCAAACATATCCAGCTCTTCCTGCAAAGCTCCTTTCCTGCTATTACCTCATTGGACCCTTGCCTCCTGTTGGGTTACTCATATTTTTTTAAATTATTAACTTATAAGAACTCTTTACATATTATAGATATCATTCCTCTTTTACTTATGTTGTAGACATCTTCTTCCATTGGTCACTTTTCATTTACCTTCATATGAGGTATTTTTTGCTTCATGGAAGTTTTAAATTTTTATGTAATCAAGCCTGGGAATCCAGATGCCTTTGCATGCACCAGGATTGTGGGGCAGGGTGAGCTGGTGACGGAGGCCTGCTGTGGTGAGAGAATTGTGACACAGGAAGGCCAGCTCACAGGCTTGTGCCTTGAGACTTGGCAAATGTCCAGCAGCCTGGACAAGCCCTCCCCTCCACTCCTCTCCCCAGGAGGCACAGCCATTTGCAAGGCCTGGGATGTGGACTTTCTCCTAAATCCCACCAAATAACCCTCTGGAGTCATGAATAGCTGGCAGTGCTGTCTGAGGAAGGCCAAGAGGTCCCTGAAGGTCCTCTCTTGGCTTCAGGACTGGGGTGTGCAGGGCATCAATGTGATCCAGTGGAGGCCACCAAGATCTGGAAGCCAGAGTTGACAGGATGAGTCTCAGTGCACCAACTAACTGGCTGTGTGGCCTTGGGGCAGTCCCTGCCCTGCTCTGGGCTCAGCTTCCTTTTCTGTCCAGGGAGTGGGCTTGACTATTGTGGTGTAGTTTCCACTCACTGATGCTATCCCACCACTGTTGCTCCACACACACACCCTTGAAAGAGCCCTGCTGTTGGGGGCTGCCCTCAACCTGGCCTGCTCAGACTCCTCACTTGGGGCAGGAGGGGGCTTTGGCATGAGGATATCTAAGAGTATCCAAGCCTCAGAAACTTGCTCCTGGTATGGGATGTGACTTCTGAGCCTCCCTGGTGCCTGGCTTCAGCCCTGGAAGTATAGAATGGAGGCAGGTCCTGGGGATCCCCCACTGGGCTTCCCTGCCGCAACATGTCAAACCTATCAAAATGCACTCACATTCTGCTCTGTGAATTATGTGACAATTGGCTGGTTGGCATGAGTTCCATTCTGTAGACATCTAATTAAACATTTGTTCATTTGGATTTTGTAGTTTCCTTTTTAAAATCTGGGAGCAATACTTCTGTTTTTCATGCCCTTATATTTTTGTTGCCCCAGAAAAATCCATAAGCCAAGCCCTGTGCCTGTCATCACTGCTGGAGAGCCCAGCGGTGTGCTCACACCCCACCTCCCCACCAGGCCAGGTCTCCTCCAACTCCTCCCCAGGACCAATGCCCAGCTCTGAAGGTCTCCCTGCCTCCGCCTCTGTCTCTCCAGCTCATCTTACACAACACAGTTGAAATGATCTTAACTGACTTGTTTTTATTATAAAGACTTTACAAATTTTAATTTAATAGTTTTTGTTTCATGTATTTTTCAGAAAGTTGATCCATTTCCATAGCTCAAAATGAACAAAATACACGGAGTGAAAGTTACCCCATCCCTGTGCCCAGCCACGAATCTCATTTTCTGAGGACACAAATGTCCCCCATTTTAAAATATCTTCCAGATATATCCTATGAACACTCACAATGTATGGTCTTTATTTTGCACCCTTCCTTCGTTTTTAAAACACAAATAATAGCACACAGAGCGCCTTTCTAAGCACACGTCCGCTCAGACCTTTGCTCGCCTCGTGGGAAAGCCTGAGCTTTTCCGGCTGGGACTAAAGGCCCTCCGTGACGCAGCCGCTTCTGAGCGCCCTTCCACGTCCTCGCTCGCCGCCAGGCTGTGCACACCTAGATCCCATTGTGAGCCCCCCGCCAGGCTGTGCGGTGCTCAGGGACAGAGGCTGTACCTCATTTGTCTGGACTCCCCAGGGCCAGTCACGGTACCTGGCACCGAGGGCGCTCAGCAAACGTCGCCGAGAGAGTTCGGAAGCGTCCGGAGGCGGGGATCGCTTTGCCACAGCGACACCTCGTGGTAGATTTCGGAAGTGCAGCAGAGACGGGGCAAGGGGCAGGAGTAGGCGGCAGAGGCGGTCTTTGTGGCTCAGGACCTTCACTGGGGCCTGAATCCTCTTCTATTCCTTCCTGCCGTCCATTCCCGACCCCACCTTGTCCGCCGGCGCCCAATCTGGGACCCACCCTCCCACCACCGGGACTACTATTGGCTGGAGAGACCCACCCACTCGTGATTAGCGGACTTGGGCACTTAGCAGAGGGTGCACGTGCCCGTGTGTGTGTGTGTGTGTGTGTGTGCACGCACACCTGTCTCAGGGGGTACCTAGCATATACCCTGAGCAGATTTTTAACACCTGCCCTCTTCTATAAGACAAAATTATTGGCAGTAGTAATCATGAAATGAGTAACAATAAATGGCAGGCAGCCAAAATTTTCTTTTATTGAATTTCCTATATAAACTCATGCCAATTCAAAAATAAATAAAATAAGAAATAGTCATTATAGTTAAAAAAGGGAAAAAATGGGCAAATAGTTTTAAATTACATTATTTAAACAAAGGGGGGGAATATACTTACATACTGATTTGTCCCAGTAATGAATAACATTACATTAGAATTAAATAAGACTAAAATACGAATAATCTGCAAAGAAGAGACTTCAACTTTAAACGTATTGTTCAAATTCAATAAAATATTCCCTATATAATGTAAAATTTGCATTTTCCAAACAAAAACTATTGCAGCTTCACAGCTTGCTCTCTGATTCACAGTTTTAAATTTTAGTCACAAATAAAATTAAGCAATTCAAGTTCTGTTCTACAACTTCATTATCATGGAGCTAGGGCCTGGAGACACAGCCTGCACCGGAAGTGACTTGGTAGATGCCAACCATCAAAACCTGTCTAGAGGCCAACTGCGGAGCCAGGAGTTCTTGGAATTAACTTTCACGTAGAACACAAGGTTAACTAAAGGATAAGTAATATAAATGTGCATATTTGAAGCCTACATATGTAATCCCAGCTATTCGGGAGGCTGAGGCAGGAGAATTGCTTGAACTTGGGAGGCAGAAGTTGCAGTGAGCCGAGATCACTGCACTCCAGCCTGGGCGACAAGAGCAAAATTCCATCTCAAAAATAAATAAATAACTAATAAAAATAAAATAAACAGTTTAAGACACAAAAAGATAAATGTGTGATTCTACTCATGTGAGGTACCTAGAAAAGGCAAATTCGCAGAAACAGAAAGTAGAATAGAGGTTACCAGGAACTGGGAGATGGGGAATGGAGAGTTATTGTTTAATAGGTACAGAATTTCTGTTTAGGATGATGAAGAAGTCCTGGATCGTGGTGATGGTCACACAACATCGTGCATGTACTTAATGCCAACGAATTGCACACTTAAAAATCATTAAAACATCACAATGAAAAAGCAGTTAAATGATAAATTTTGTGTTATGCATACTTTACCCCAATAAAAAAATTGGAATAAAACAGGTAAGAATTAACAGAATAATTTGGGGAGGGGAATGGAGCATTGTTTTACGGACACGGTTAAGGAATTGCAGTGCAAGTTGATAATCAAAAGCATGGTGACTTTTAAATTCTCTGCAGACAAAGTACTTGCCTGCTCCTGGCTGGCTCTGTCCTACCTCCTGGCCCTTGGGACACCACTGGTGTGTTTATCTTTGTGGGTCCATGGTTTGGTTGTCCTTTTTGTGTGTCTGAGTCTGTGAGGTATTTGTCTTTGGGTTTCCAATATGTGTGTCTTGGTCTCTCTGCTTAGGTCCCATTCTACGTATATTTGTGTGTTGTGTGAGGAGTAAATGAGATGATCAGGGCCAGGCACACATCACAGTGCCCATGATAAAGATCCAACAGCCATTGTCTGCTGTGTGCTTGTGTGTGTGTGTGTTCATCTTTGTGTCTCCCTGCATCTATTGGTGAGGGGGTCTAGTGTCTCTGTGCGTATGTTTCTGTACATGTCAGCGGTGTGTGTGACAGGCACAAGATCCACCCCTGCTCCCTCTCTCTGGCCTAGGGGTGAGTGGATGGGGCTGTCAGGGAGGGGTGTTGGGGTGTTGCTGCCCTCAGTTCTCAGGCTTAGGGATCTCCCAGAGCTGGCCTGATGGAAGAGGGTGCCCCACAGCCTGGCTTTCTGGACAGCCACACCAAAATGTCTCCGAGGCTATTTTCTGGGTGAGTCCCAGGCCTTCCAGAAATCCCAGCTGGCCCTGCACTTGCTCATCCATGGGGCCCAAATGGAACTGTCAGGATTGGATAGCAAATAACCCCAGCAGTATCCAAGGCCCCTTGAGGATACCTTGATCCACGTCCTTATACAGAACTAGTGGTGTGAGTCATTAGAGCAAATGGCCTGGAAGCCACATGCAACTCAAATCCTGAACTGGTGTCTGGAGACACAATCCATGTCCCTCCCCTAGCTGGGGAGCCTGGGCTCATCATCAGGTACCTCTGTGGGTCTCAATTCTGCAACCTTCCAAGTGGGCACAGTCACTCCAGTTGGAATCCCTTCTTCCCTCCCTCCCTCCAAATGCACCCTGCAGCAGTCTTTAATGTGAGTCCCTTTCAAGGCCAACAGGATGAGCCTTGTGAAGGTCTTTAGCATTCAGAGCCCTTGATGAATAGGTGGGGTGGGGTGGGGGCAGGGAGGGGGTCTGCCAAGGCCGGCTGGCAGTCCTGCAGCTTCAGAGTCTGGAGGGAGCAGGGCAGACTCACAGAGGGGAACTGAGGCCCTTACACATACTTCCCTTTCCAGCTCCAAGGTTCCCAAGTGGAGGTGGGGTACGGGTGGCCAGGAAACTCCAGTTTCCTGAACAAAGGTCAGCCCCTCTTGCCGCTGATGCTCTTTTGGGAGCCTTGGCCTTGGCCAGCAGGAAAGAAAGGCTCCTTCTCTCTGGGTGGGGGCAGGTGCTGGCACAGGGCTGCCTGGGAAACAGAGTCCAGTGTCTGGCTCCAATGGGCATTCAGACACCCAGGGCCTGGCAGGCTCTGCCAGCTGCCTGAAAAAGTGGGCATTGTCCTGTCTTCACCCACGCCAAGGGGGCCTTCCCTCCACTGCTCCTGGGAGCCTGGCTGACTCTTGCTTCCAGGGTGGGCTGGGACCCAGAAGTGCCCACATCCAGGCACCACAACCAGCTCTGTGGGAGGAGTGGCAGGTGTGGGCTTGGGGGATGGGCTGGGACTCATTCTTATTCTCATTCAAGTGATTGGAGTTGGGGAAAAGAGTTCTGGATTCTGAACCACTCTCTGAGCTACAGGAAGGTCTGATTTGGGGCTGTGTGTGTGTGTGTGTGTGTGTGTGTGTGTGTGTGTGTGTGTGTGTACCAAGCAGCAGGGACACAGGGCCTCTCAGATGCTTTGGGTGTCCCGTTTCCCATCTGTGTGGTCTGCTTCTGTTCTGACATTCTTTCCTCAGCTTTCCATGCTAGCAAGAAGCCACAGAACTCCTTCATTAGTCTAGAGCTCTGGGAAGGGAGCTCCTGAATGCACTGATGAGCTTAGGAAACCCACTTCCTGATGGGGAGACTCAGCAGGACAGGGGGCTTGTGTGGGTCGTTTCCCCACTCCAGGAAACGGGCCTTGCCTTCCGGGAGTGAGCAAAGCTGATGAAGAGGGGGCCTTCTGCTCTTTCATCCATGACACACAGGTGACTGAACGCAATGCGGTGCCCTGGACTGGATCCTAGAACAAAGCACATTCCCGGAAAAACTGGTGAAATCCTAATAAGTATGGAGTTTAGTCCATGGTGTTATAACAATGTTAATTTCTTAGTTATGGCAAATGTACCATGGCGATATAAGAGGTTAATGTTAGGGGAATCTCACTGTACCATCTGCAATGTTTCTGCAAATCTAAAGTCATTTCAAAATTAAAAGGCAGGTGGATGCTGTAGCACGAGTGTTTACCACCCCCATCTCTTTACCCTCAACATACTCTGCTTACTAAGATTGCTGGAAACCGTAGCCCAACACTGCTTCTGAATACAGCTAACGTGCAGTTAATGACCATTCCATATTCACACGGGGCCTAAGGAACATAACTACTATTTAGAGACCAGATCGTCATGAATGTCAGGGGCTTGATCCCAGGCACCTCGTTTAATGCACTCCCCATCCTACAAGCAGTAGCTCTAACTTGTATGAGAGATGGAGAAACCTTGGATCAGTGGGGTTGTGAAGCTTGCTGAGGTCCCACAGCCAGAACTGCAGAGCCCAGTCTTGTTGAATTCCGAGTTGGGGTGCTTTGGGGGTGCTTGCTGGAGTACTGTGCCTGTATCTGACAAACCAGCTGGCTAAGGAAATGGGTCCTGTGATGTGAGGATAGTTCGGAAGAGGAGCTGTTTCAAAGCCTGCAGGAGCTGCATTCTGTCTGCAAACCAGTGGCTCCTCATGGGGGAAGACTTAAAAGTAGCCCATGGTTCATCAGAGGCCTGAAGGCCATTCTTAAGCCCACCCTCCTCCGTCGCCCGTTCCTGCTGCTGTCCTGGGAAGTAAGAAAGCAGCATTCCCCCACCCCCAAACTCAACCCTCCTTGGGGCTCTTCTGGTCCTTTCCAGGTCCCTTGGGCAAAGGAACTTTCCTTCACTCCCAATGCAGCTGCCCAGGCTGTGGGTGGCTGGGGCCCAGCTGGCCCCCCTGGTGGGTGGTGGGGGGTGTGGAGAGGATGCCTGAGTGGGCGGCCAGTGAGAGCCGGTTTCCTGGGGCCTCCCTGGGGCTGAGCAGCGTGGCCACTTCCGAAGGCCCCTTTGTCCGTCCCTTTATCCAGAAGAGCGGCTGCAATTGTGCAGGGCACAAAGCCCCCGCGGGCCCTGACTTTCCACCCCTGCCTGTGGCCTGCCTGGGAGAGGGTTTCCCAGGCTCCTCAAGAAGGCAGGCTTCTGCCCCCTCCTAGGCAGCCAGGGACCCAGACCTTCTACTTCCGGGCCCAAGATCTATTCATCTAGCCTATCCCAGCTCCCCCGTCCCCCAGGGGGCCCAGCCATTCACAGAGGCCATGGACTTACTGCTCCTCCATTGCCCATCCTGGACACACACGGGCAAAGGGTTCCCAGGCTTACCACTGGGGTGGCGAGGGAGGACCCAGGAAGACGCCGTGTGCTCCATTCACCCGCTGCAAAGTATTTTTGGAGGATTTGCTGATATGCAGGCAGCCTGGGGTGGTGGATTGAGTGTGGGCCACCCCAAGAGGCAGCTGGAAAGTGGGGTACGGCCTGGGAATGGACCGGAAGGCATGCCTGCAGGGTCCTCGTGCCTGCTGTGAGCACTCAGCACCTGCACCAGAGGAAGGACAGAGTGAAGGAGGGAAGAGGGAGAAGGAAAGGCATCTTGACCTCCTCCTCTCCTCTCCTTATGCCTTTAAGCATTGGCATGCTAAGCCCTGGGCCGCCATCACTGCACTTAGTCCTTCTAGCACTAGTACTACCCCTTCTTATAGACAACCAAGGCTGAAAGGAGTCAAGTGACTTTCTCGAGGTCTCACAGTGGAATTCAAGGTAGTGGATCTTTGACACTTAAGTCTGTGCTTCCCCTTCAGGAAAGGGAGCAGGGAATGCCAGAGGGGTGAACTACATGGCCGAGGCTGCAGAGGCTACTCCAGGGCTGGCTGCCTTGCCTGGCCTGCCCAGGTACCGGGGCTCTCTGGGAACCCAGCCTCGGCCGATCCCCTGGGGGTGGCCCCTTCTGCTCAGTCTAAAGGCTCTGGCCTGTCTAGGAAAGGGCCAGAAAAGCCCTTCACCCTGGTTTCATCCCTTACCTCTCTGTCCACCTCTCACCCCCACAGAGGGACTGAGGATGGCGCTCCTGGGCTTATCCATATGCCCCGGGAGCACTCCTGAAGGAAATCCTGGCCCACCTAGTGGCCAATGGCTTTCACCCAATCTGTTTTCTTCTGGGTTTGACGAGGCAGTGACTCAAGGTCCAGAGGTCCTTTCCTGGAATCCAGAAGGGCATTCCTAGCCCCAGGGGCCAGGCTCAGGATATCAGCCCTCCAGAGAGAACCAGCCCTGCTCTAGCCTCCAAAAAGCCCAGGTCCTTCTGGTGTCCTCGGGAGCAAGCTCGTTTCTGGACTTCTCTGCAGTGACCGAACACTTGCTGCTGACACTTCCTTCTCATGCCTCTTCCTTGCCTCTCTCTTCTCCTTCTCTTCCACCCCCTTCTCCTGTGCTTCCTCCTTTTCTCTTTTCTATTTTCCTTCCTCTCCCTTCCTCTCTATTCCTCCTCCCTTTTCTCCTCTTCCTCTTTCTTCTTCTCTTCCTCTCTACCCCTTTTTCCTCTCCCTGTCCTCTGCTTTCCCCTCCAGTCCTCCTCCCCTTCTTTCTTTCCTTCCTCCTGCTTCACATCCTCTTCTTCCTCGGGCCCTCTGTCCCCTCCTTCTTCCATCCCTCTTCCTCCTTCTTCTACCTCCAGTCCTCTCCAAGGGCCCAGGACTTGAAGCTCATATAAACAATGTAGTGAGCAGTCTCCTCTTATCAACCCAGAGTGCCCACAAATCAGAAAGCTTAAATCAAAGGGAGGTCTTGGGCTTCCTCTACTGAAGTCCCTCATTTTACAGATGGGCCCAGAGAGGGTATGCAACTTGCCCAAGGTCACATAGCTCAGGGCACTGAAGTACCATGTAGCCACTTGTCCATGGGAATACAAATAATCATAGTTACCATTAATTGAGTAACTACTCAGTGTTAGGTCCTGTGCCAGGTACTTTATATCTATTCCGTGATATCAACCCTTTAGAATAGGTGTTACTGTTGCTTTTTACTTTGCACAGGGAACTGAAACACAGAGAAGTCCAATGACTTGTCCAAGGTCACACGGCTAGAAGGCAGAAGAGCAAGGATTCAGCCTGGGTTGGCTCAACTCTCACCTGTGTTTTTGTTGTTGTTGTTGTTATTTTGTTTGTTTGTTTTGAGACATAGTCACATAGTCTCACTCACCTCCTCCTCTCCTCTCCTTAAGCCTTTAAGCATTGGCATGCTAAGTCATATGACATCTAGTCTCATTCTGTCGTCCAGGTTGGAGTGCAGTGGCACAATCTCGGCTCACTGCAACCTCTGCCTCCCAGGTTCAAGCCATTCTCCTGCCTTAGCCTCCCAAGTAGCTGGGACTATAGACACACACCACCACGCCTGGCTAATTTTTTTGTATTTTTGTATTTTTTGCTATGTATTTTGCTATGTACTTTTCACTGTGTTGGTCAGGCTGGTCTTGAACTCCTGACCTCAAGTGATCTGCCTGCCTCAGCTTCCCAAAATGCTGTGATTACAGGCGTGAGTCACTGTGCCGGGCCCAACTCTGAGCATTCATGAGATCTGCTGGAGTCATTAGCTCTAGCTCCGTCCTGCTCAGGACTCACTGGTCACTGACTTCCCCAGAGCCTGCTTGAGGTCCCACAGGGGCCTCTGTGTTATACCAGACTGTCCTCTGTCAGCCCAGACCTGAGGCCACATCATACACCTAGATCCTGCCTGAGATGAGACCACCAGTTCAACCAGGCAGCCTGTCCTGCTTGCTCAGGCCCCGCACATGAGGGCAGAGGACAATCTTGGGAGAGCAGGGTCAGGGAGGAAAGCCTTGGAGCATCTCCTCTTCCCATCTGTCTGCCCACCCAGGAGCCCTCCCTCTGAGATTTCATATGAATTCAGCATCCACAGAAGCTCAGGGTAGCGGTGAGAGTGCAGCCACAGCTGTGGGGATGAGGCCAGAAAAGAGGCAGCAAGAGACACTCCAACCCCTCACTGCCCCTTGGAGCACAAGGAGACCTGTCAGATATGGGAGGGCAATGGGCTACCCCCTCTGGAAGAGGCGCTAAGCTTGGGCCTCTTGCCAGCTCTAGAGAGGGGCTGACTCCGGCTGAGCCAGGTCGGTGTAGACCAGAATGTCTGCAGGAGGCTGCTCAGTCCAGCAACTAGGTTCTTGCCGTTCACATGGCTTCCCTGCACTCGTGGGTCACAGGTCCTCTTGGTGTGGGAGCAGTAAGGGATCCAGGTGGCAGGGAGACCCTGGTGCTGGTCGGCTGAGCACCCCAGACTAAATGTGTGCCAACACTAGGACCTGAGGGGAGAAAAGAAATGGGTCCACTTGACAGATGAGGAAACTGAAACCCAGACTGGGGAAGACAGTTTTGTGAGTTCACACAGTAGATGACACACAGTCCTGGCTCTTGGAGGGTAGGATTCTGGGAGGACCACCAGGGGATCCCCTCCTCATCCCATACTGGCTCACCAGCCCAAGAGTGCTCAGAGCTTGGAGGACTGCTATCGGGAAGCCGGGCAACTCCTTCCCAGAACAGGGCTTGGGTCCAGAGGGAGTGCTCACGGGGGTCCTGCCTGCAGCACCAGAGCTAGCCCATATGGCATCTCCATTTGAGTTGGAAAAGAGGACCCCTCTCCCTATCACTTTACCTCCCTTTGCTGGATGGTAAACACCCCAGCCTTTCTTTTTTCTTTTTTTTTGACAGAGTCTCCCTCTGTCACCCAGGCTGGAGTGCAGTGGCACGATCTCGGCTCACTGAAACCTCCACCTCTCAGGTTCAAGCGATTCTCTTGCCTCAGCCTCCCAAGTAGCTGGGATTACAGGCACCCACCACCATGCCCGGCTAATTTTTTTGTATTTTTAGTGGAGTCGGGGTTTCACTATGTTGGTCAGGCTGGTCTTGAACTCCTGACCTCAAGCAATCCACCCACCTCGGCCTCACAAAGTGCTGGGATTATAGGCATGAGCCACCGCCCCAGCCCACACCCAGACTTTCTGATCCAGTGCCTGAGGGCACCCCACTCACCTGGCCCCTCTCCATGCCCCTCTCTTCCCTCTGCCATCACCTCTCTCTACAGCCCCTCTTCCTTCTCTATCTACCCTCTTGTTCTCTGAGCTCAGCTGTGCCATGTCCCCAGTGCCCCCAGAAGTCCCAGCTTTCCAGAGGGGCTTGCACAGGCCTCTTGAAGCTGGCCTCCGTCTGCCTCCGCTTGCCCCAGCAGACCCACGTTAGCACCTGCCGTGCCTTTGGGCAAGACACCATCCCTCCTTCCTTGCCTGGACTGCTCCTGAGCATGCATCCGGTCTTAGTGGTCCCTTCTTTTAGGACGCCTTTGCGCCTTTGTGGCCCCATTGGCTGACTTAGCTGCCCCTCTGCGAGGCTTCTCCTTGGGTGGGCCTGCATGTTGCATGCTGACACTCTGGTTGTGGCTTCCCCAGGGGACACAAGGCTTCCAGAGCAAGGGAGTCTATGTCTCTCACCCAGCTGCATCTCTATGCCTAGACCCAGAATAAAAATCGCTACTATTTAATGAATATAATGAATGTTTCCTATGTACCAGACAATGTGCAGAACATGTTATATACCATGCCTCAGTGACTCTTCACAATGACCTCTTATATTCTATTACTAATAATAAGTACTAACAATAATACATGCTATCATTAAGCCCCTTCTACAGGTAAAGAAACTTGAGTCCCAGAAAAGTTTCCTGTTCAGGAGTATGCTTGAATCTTCTGTGACATGTACTGTCTCTGGGAAAATGAGAATTGAATGAACTGGTGAATAAACTGCAAGGATCTTCAGAGATGGGCAGGGAGAAACTGGGCTGCTTCTCTCACCAGAGGGTGGCATCGGGTCCCTGATCCCAGCAGGGACTGTGTCCCAGCCCAAAGGGCTCCAGAACCTTCCGAGACTAGCTCTGGGTCCAAGCCTCAGGTATGAGATGTATGAGCCTCATTCTGTGAGTTCTGGGCCCGCCTCTGTAAAATGGGCATTGCAATCCTGCCCTGGCTACCTGCATGCTGGTTTCAGGGGCTCAGGCCCAATCCTGAATGTCAACATGCTTGAAAATGGTAAGCCGGGTGCAGTGACTCAATCCTGTAATCTCAGCACTTTGGGAGGCTGAAGTGGAAGGATCCCTTGTGCCCAGGAGTTTGTGACCTGCCTGGGCAACATAGCGAGACTCCGTCTCTAAAATAATTTTTTACACCACTTTGGGAGGCTGAGGCAGGCAGATCACTTGAGGTCAGGAGTTCGAGACTAGCCTGACCAATGTGGTAAAACCCTGTCTCTACTGAAAATACAAAAATTAGCAGGTGTGGCGGCAGGTGCCTGTAATCTCAGCTACTCGGGAGGTTGAGGCAGGATAATCACTTGAACCCAGGAGGCGGAAGTTGCAGTGAGCCGAGATCGCACCATTGCACTCCAGCCTGGGCAACGAGAGCGAAACTCTGTCTCAAAAAAATAAATAAATGAATAAATAAATTTTAAATATTAGCCAGGTGTGGTGGTGCACACCTATAGCCCCAACTACCTGGGAGGCTGAGGCAGGGGGAATCGCTTGAGCCCAGGAGCTGGAGGTTGCCGTGAGCCAGGCTGGTAGCTGTCCACTGTGCCATGAGCTCAGAGGGGAGTGAGAGGGTGGCAGGTCACCAGAAGCTAGAAAGCTGCCCCCTGAGGCAATGCAGCTAGAGCTGCACAGGCTCTGTCCACCTGCTGTGTCAGGGAGGAGGGAGGGGAGGAAGAGGGAGGGCACAGCTGGGGCAGTGGGCACAAAGCCAGCACCAGGTCAGGCAGGCCCAGTGGGCAGATCAGGGTCAGTGGCCTGGGTGAGGTCTAGGGCACCCAGATGCCCATGCTCTTCCCAAGGCCACTGTGGCTTCCCACTAATCCTGGGCATAGGGAGGGGTGGAGCCAGGAGGGCGGAGCAAACCTTACAGCCTGAGGGGAGCACCTGTGGGTGGGGCTTGGGAGAGGAACTGAGAGAGGAACTGAGGCCGCACAGGAAGGAGCCGGTCAGTGAAGCAAGGCTGAGTGTTCACTTATTCAACAACCTTTATTGAGCCCCTTTATTGAGCATGATGATCCAGGCATCATGATATACAGCTCTAAACAAAACACATGACCATCCCTGCCTCACAGAGCTGACATTCTGGTGGAGGAGGTGGGCAATAAACAAGATAAATAAGTACATCATAGAGATGAGCTGAAGGTGAGGAATAAAGCAGGAAGGTGAACAGGGTGTGCTGGGGCCGCCATTGCAAATGGGCCAGGGAAGGCCTCATTAAGAGGGTGACATTTGAGCAAAGGCATGAAGCCAACCATGATCCCGACCCACCTATTCATGCTTTTGAGTCAAGTTCGGATGTCAGCTCTGAGACTGCAGGGGTATTGGTTGTTTTCACTGGTGGATCCCAAGCACTCGGGTAGGGCCTGGTGCCTGGTTCAATACATATTTGTGGATATGATAGAAATGAAAAAAGGAGTCAAGCATTTGGCATCCAGTCATTGCCGGGGCTGGTGCTGGGGTTCTCCTGGTGAGGATTCCAGCCCCCACCCTCCTGGGACAATGCCTGAAAGCCACTGACCCTACTGGAAAAGCAGAAAGGGGCGGGGGGCAGTAGGCCAGCTCCAGGGCGGGGAAGTTTGCTGTGTACAGGCAAGACGATGTCGTCTTGCTTGGGTTCCTGGGTCTCACAGGGTCTGTGGTATGTGGTGCCGTGCGGTCAGAGACCATGGTGGTGGCTGGGACCCTCTAATGTGCTTCTGGAGCCAGGTTTCAGTGGCTTACACGGGGCAGCTGAGGGTGCTCTGTGTCAGCGGGGGTAGCGGCAGGGGCTCTAGGTTCTGGTTGCCGCCTGCCACCCCCTGGGAAGGTAGTAGGTGGTGGCTGGGTTGCCTGGGAGTCACCTGCCCCCCTTCATGACTGGGTCCTGATGCCATCCTAAGTCTCTGTGGGGTGGGGGTGCTGTGGCAGCTTGCCGGGGTGTCTACCTGGGAGATATGAGACTCTAGGTCCTAGGCCTCATGAGGCCCTTTGCAGGAGAGCACCCTGGAACAGGGAGCGTCAGTTTCTGCATGTGTCAGATACCAACCTGCCTGTTTTAGGGGCTGTTGTGAAGACTGAAGGGAAGGAAGGACCTGACAGCACCTTTAACAGGCCCCTGAGGGGCTGTGCTGGGCTAAAATCGGGCCTTCCCCCAATTCCTAAGCTCTGTGCCCTGCGAGGGCTGCATCTGCCCCAAGGGGGCGCCCTTTCCTAATCTTCACAAAAGATTTGCAGGGGCCAGCAGCCGAGATGGGGCACAGGCCCTACCAGAAGAGAGGATGGCCTGCTACCCAGAAGCCCTTGGGGACTCCCTGGGGTTAAAGCACCTTCCCTGGTGCAGATGTTTGTCAGCTCTCAGAGGCAGGCGGAGCCGGGATCCCATCCCCAGTGGCAGATGAGAGGCCTGGATGACCTGCGCAAGAGATCCGTGCGTGGAGGTGCGGCCAGCAAGTCCCGGGCTATGCTCCACGGTCGCTCCGGGGTCTGCACATCACCTGCCCGGGTGGCAACCGGTTGAAGGCTTCCAAATGTCCGACACCCCTCTCGATCCTCCAATCCCAGCTCCCCACCTGCCCATCACCCCATCACTAGGAAAGGAGGAAACAGTTAATAAAGTCCTTATTTCCATCACGTTTGCCATTTCCTGATCTAAGTAGAGTGTCAAGAGAGCGACAAGCTAAAACTGCTGATTACCGTGGCTTCAAGGCAGTGATCAGTGAAAGGCACTGGTCACTGCCTGTTTTGGGTGCCTAACCCTGTAATTAATCAGCATTGGTGGGGGCGATAGGGGGACCAGAAGAAGCTAGAGGTAGGTTTGTGCAGCTCACACCCCAGGAGGTGGCAATAGGGCAATTAAAGACACAGACGCTCTCCTCCCCTCAGCAGTATGGTAGGTGGGTCTGAGGATGGAGGAGGCAGGGACAAAGGTACAGTCACCAAGAAATCAGTTGGGTTATTTTGATTTCCAACCCAGGTTGTCAGTCTGTGCTTAGGGTCTTCTCTTCCCCCACTCCCCCAAATCCCTAGGGTTATCATTCAATCCAATTTAGAAGCCTGCCCTCTGGGGGCCTAAATGTTAGAACAGATGAGGCTCATAGAGACTCACACACACAGAGCCATTTAATCCGCCTGGCAGGAGGGACTGTTTATAGAGGAGATTTCATTTATTTTACTCCCAATATCGAGGAGGCTTGGCGGGGAATAAACCCTTCCTCTAGGTAGGCTGGTAAACTTTGCAACTTGCTTGCAAGCATGTTTTGAACATATGGTATCATAGGAATAAGGATAGCCTGAAGCCTGGTTCCAGCTCACACTTTTCATTTTTTCACTCATCCAAGTTATTGATTTCGTCGGCACTTGTAGCATCAGGCACACTGCAATCTGGATTGGGGTTTCTGGCATTCCTTGCAGGATGAGCCCCAGGAATGGTCTCTGACCGCACGGCACCAGCCTGCCACTGGTGGGGCCCCCTTTTTCGTTGGGGCTGTTTTCTAGGATCCAGCGTGCCGCCAGCCAGGGCTCAGGAGGAGGCTTGGAGCTCAGATCTGGATCTCCTGGGTGGGCAGCAGTGCCCTCCTCTGAGGCAGAAGTGTGCCCTGACCTCTAGGTGGCCAGGGTAGGGAAGCTAGCCCTTGATCTTCTGACCTGTTAGCCCCCTGAGGATCAGTCAATTAATCCACTAAAGCTTGGTTGTTTTTATTTGACTCCTAACACTGTTGCCCCACCAGTCCCCTTTGTATACCCTAGGGGCTGAGAGACCAGACAAGACTAAAATCCACAGAGGGGTCAGAGGGGAGGGCCTGGCAATTAACCCTGCATCCTGAGCAGGGTGGAGTCAGGGGTCAGTGGGGGTGGGGAGGGGCCGACCACCAGCTGCCACGCCCAGGAGGAGGCCTCCCGGGACACCCACAGGTGGGATTCCAGGCAGGCCCAAGCTGGGGAGAGACAGGGGCCTCTGAACAGCTTTTTCCCTTGCCCACACACCAAGGCAGGGCCCATCCTGCTCCTGCCCAGGCCCCTTCCTGGGGTAGGACCCCTGCCCCCCACTCCATCTGAAGCAGCAGCTGATTCCCTCCCCTGCTGTCCCTCCCCCCTCCACCCTACTTTCTGAGGAGAATAACCTGTGATAATTTTTTCTTCTTCTTTCTGGCAACTAATGGACTCCTTAAATAGCAAAAATTGCGGCCTGTAATTAAGATCTTGCTTTTTAAATGATTAATCATTGTAACCCCTTTGAGCAGCATCCCACTTCCCACTCTTCTCACATTGAAATGCAGATCGTTGGCAAGGGAGGGAGGTGCTCCCAAGCCACTGAGGAGCAATTAAACCTTCCCAGCTGTCACTCGCCTGCCTCGTCTGCCTCCCCGGCCTGTCCAGACGCCTAGGAGGGAGAGCGCAGGGCCCCTGCTCACGGTGGCGCCAGACTCACCAGCAGCCTGGCTGGGGGGCACCGAGCCGGTCCGCCTCCAAGCCTGACCCTGGCTTGCCCTTGCGTGGCAGCCCACAAGCTGGCTTTCGGACACTCCCAGGAAATCAGATCATGTTTGCTGAGCACTTGCTAGGTGCCCACACTTTAAAAGATCTCATTCAATTTTCACAATAGCCACCTGAGAGAAATGTGAAGATGCCCATTTCCATAAAGGGGCAAGTAGAGGCACAATTTCACACAATTCACAAGTGGTCATATCAGGATTTCCAACAAGGACTGGCTGATCCAAAACCTAGCCTTCATGTAGTTGGCAGGGGGTCATGGGAGACCTCACTGAACATGCATACACACACCACACACGCACGCATGTGCAAAACTCTTCACCAGCTTGCAAAGGGCTCTCCGGGTTGATCTCTTTGAAGCCATTCTTGCAAACAAGTGCCATGATTTGTCAGCCTGTGGAAGTGTTTCCAAGCCTTCTTCCATTGATATATACATGCAATGACAGCACAATTTGGGGGTGGTAGGTCATTGGAGCTAGAAGGAAACTTGGAATCCTCAGAGTCCATACGCCTTCTTACTCAAGAGGGCACTTGGGCCTGAATATCAAGAGACTTGGCCAACATCAAAGGTCACATTTGCAGCTCTTAGCAGGTGCCAGCTTCACAGTAGGCTCTCATGGATCTGTTGAATAGTAAACATGGAAAGATGTACTTCTTCCTTTAGGGCTCTACTGTTAGTTTTTTCAGAAGGGATTTTTGTGTATTTGTGTGGTGGTGGCAGGGGTTTGGGGGCAAAGGAGCTCCATCCTTATTGACTGTTTCTGAGAAGGGGCAGGAGAGAAAGGGAGACAGTCACAAGCATGAACAGGGCTTCTGTGTGTGGTTGTGCAGACCCCTGCACAGATGTGCTGGGCTAGGAAAGTTGGAAAGGCCTTTTCGCTGCTGGCTAAGCCAAGATGTGTGCATGGCTTAGTGTACGCCTGGACCAGGGCTGGAGGAAGGGGGAAGGCCAGCATGCTGCAGAAGGAAATCCCTTCTCGATCTCCGACAGAGAGCTGATTCCAAAAGAAACCCAGACCAAAATAATCAGTGACCCCCCCTGGTTAAGATCCTAATGATAGGCTGTGGGTTGGGGGCAGCACCTGCTGCCTATAGGGCAATTTGGCAAGACTGGCACCATTACGAATGCATATAAGCGTTGGCCCAGCAAGCCCCATTTTGGGGCTTTATCCTACAGGTACACTCATACTGTGAGAACTCACTTATGTGCAAGACTATTCGTTGCAGCATCATTTGTGAAAAAGGTCGGAAACCACCCAGATGAGCCTCAAGATAGGATGGGTTCAGGCGAAACCATGTAGCTGAGTAAGAGAATGAGAATGATCTCCTTGCTCTGATAGAGAAAGGTTGCAAAGATCCCCATGACACTCTACCATAGAGAAAAACAGCATGACATAGTGCACTATGCCACCTTTTGTGTGAAAATAAGAGTCACGTTTGCATTGTCATGCATTCTTCTTTGTACATGTTTACGTACAAAGAAGCTCTGGAAGGACACATAAGAAACTAATAACAGTGATTATCTTTTAGGGAGTGGTGAGAACTGAGCAGATGGGTGACAAGGCCATGAAGGAGACTTCTCACCGCAAAACTTTTTTTGTACTAGATGAAAGTATTAGCTATCCAAGGCCGGGGGCAGTGTCTCATGCCTGTAATCCCAGCAATTTGGGAGACTGAGGTGGTTGGATTACCTGAGGTCAGGGGTTCAAGACCAGCCTGGCCAACGTGGTGAAACCTGTGTCTACTAAAATACAAAAAACTAGCCAGGCGTGGTGTTGGCTGCCTGTAATTCCAGCTACTCGGGAGGCTGAGGCAGGAATCGCTTGAACCTGGGAGGTGGAGTTTGCAGTGAGCTGAGATTGTGCCATTGCACTCTAGCCTAGGTGACAAGAGTGAAACTCTGTCTCAAAAAAAAAAAAAAAAAAGAAAGTATTAGCTATTCAAAAGGATTAATATGAATGATCTTATATGTCCTCATAGATCTGGTATAGGCTTACTTACAAGCTCCTAGAAATGTCACCCACCCCCAGCAGATGGTTCCCATTCTCTTAGCTGTACATGCCCACCCCAGTGGGTACACACTGTCATAGGAGGTGCATGCCCTGAGACAATACCACTTGTGGCCTGGCCGTGTGAGTGTCCAGGGCTGAAGGCAACGCTAAGCCTGCTCTTCACTTTCCTTCCTCAGGGGCATCCACCCCAGTTTCCTTGGCCTTACTTAGCTGGCCTCACATCAGGTCTCACCCAATCATCCAGACATGGCTGTGGCCCCTCTTTGTCTTGCACCTCCAGAGTATCAGGCAGGTTCGTGGTCTCTGCCTCAACCATATGTATCTGTGACACATACACACGTACAATCACATGCACACAGGCTCATACACAACATGCACTTGTAAGCACACAGGCACACGCAGGCCTGGGCCCTTCCTCACATTACAGATGCCTCAGCCACAAGCAGGAACAGGGGACTGATGGGCGTGATTGACACCCAGGAGAGGAGGAGCTGGAGGAAAGGAGGGAGCTCCCCCTCCCTCTGGGCCATTGCCTAACACAGTCCTGGTCCAAAGTGGGCACTGAGGCTCCACATTCCCCAGGACTTTGGGGAGTAGGTCAAATGTGAGCTCAGGAGGCAGGCCACCCCAGGTTGGAACCCCAGCCCCACCGCCTGCTCCCGGTGTGCCAGGGCCTGCATCCTTACATTGGCAAGTCTAGAAACCGAGGCACGGGGAAGTCAACTGACTTGCTGAAGTCCCCCAGCCGGTGAGCAGTGGAGCCAGGATTATATCTACGCAGGCTGGCTCGGAGGCTGTGATCCTCTTCACACCTCTGGCTGCCTCTAAGTCCTGTGGATCGTGGGGCTTCCTTTCAGCTTTCTGGGGCCTTCTAAACACACCTCATCCAAGATAGGGTGAGAAATGGGTGCTTAGGAAGCAAGAGGGTTGTTATTAGGGCCATTTCTCCTCTATAGCCCCATAAGAGGTGGCTCACTGGCTTTTGTTCAGGGTCTGACACATGGTGGTCAAAGGGTCATTGGCCTGGTCCTGCTGGGCACGTTTCAGGACAAGTGCCCCTGGGTGCACGGGGTCCTCAGGAAATACCTTTGCTGCCCAAGACTGCCCAGGGATGAGGTCTCCTGAGGCAAGGGCATCCCAGAGACCACCACCATTTAGAAAGGGGCAGCCCAGTTCACCATGCCCAGAACCAGTGCCCTATCCTGGGTCCTCATGCCCATCATGGCCCTGTCATCTCCTCCCAAGGTGGCTCTAAATGGCACAAGCCCTTCTGTCACTCTGAAAGCGCAAAACCAGGAGTGTGGTCAGGTAGAATTGTTTCCGGCTGCAAGTAATTGATGGACAGGGACTTAATGCAAACGCAGCCTTATTCATCTCACATGGCAAGAGGGTGGTGGGCCAGGGTTGGCCCTGTGACTCAGTGATGTCAAGGAATGGGCTCAGCTTTTCTGGTAGCCGTGGGACTTGAGTCTGAGGTTTTCTTTTTGCCTGTCCCCTTACAACACATCACACCAGCCCATCAGGGATAGGGACCAGTGAACCCTAATTCGTTACAGCCAGGAGCTGTTGGAGCAAGGAGCGAATTTATCATGGATGAAAGCCTGGGTGGGGAGCCTGGTTAATACAGGGGATTCATGTGTCTCTGAGCTTGCACCCTCCCCACCATCCTGGCCTGGAGGAGAGGGAAAGGGAGGTCAGTGGCTGCTTTCTCTCCCCACCCCCACCCGCATTCCAGGACACCTCCTGGAGCTGTACTGCGCACTGGGCCAGCCCAGCCTAGACTGTTCCCATCCTCCCTGGGTGTGATGAATGCCAGGGCTGCTTACAGAGTCACAAATTAGGTTGCCAAAGGCATCCCCGGCCTGGCCTGGAAACACCTCCCAGCTGAAAGGAGGTGCGTCTGGGCTGAGCAGACGTCTTTATTCAGCTGTAATTGATGTTTCACAGACGTCTGTAACTCCGTCTGGAGGGACACAAAGCGCCCCCACGCTTGGCCCGGGCAGCCTCTTTATGTCGCCCCTTTTCATCTGGCAGTCAAAAGTGTAGGAGCCGCCTGGGCTCTCCTGCTTGGTCCCTGGGCCAGGACAAAGGCGGGCGCTGCACACAGAGGCCACCCGGTGGGCCTTTACCTCCTGGAGTGGTCTATGCTAATCTAGCGCCAGCCCAGACCCCTCCTGCATATCGATGGGCGGCAGGGACCGCCGCTGAAACAGGCAGAGCCCTGGCTCACCGGGGAAGGGGTGGCTCCCAGCAGTCAGACCTCAGTCGGTGGGTCCACCTGAATCCAGACTCAGTTGGCTGAGATGGTGGGTGAAGGGACCTTGTAGCGGAGCAGGGGTTCTTAGTCCGGGACCCAGCGCCCCCAGGAGAGAGACAGGTTAACCGCCGAAATCACAGGCACTTCTATGCACAGGTCTTTTTCTCTAGGAAGAAGCTCCATATCTTTCATCAGGTGCTCAAAAGTAAGTCCTACCAGGCACAGTGGCTCACACCTGTAACCCTGGGGCTTTGGGAGGCTGAGGTGGGAGGATCGCTTGAGCCCAGGAGTTCAAGATTAGTTTGGGCAACATAGTGAGACCTCATCTCTTCAAAAGTTTAAAAAAATTAATCAGGTGTAGAGGTGCACATCTATAGTCCCAGCTACTGAGGCTGAGGTGAGACGATCCCTTGAGCCCATGAGTTTGAGATTACAGTGAGCTGTGATCATGCCACTGCCGCTGCACTCCAGCCTTGGCGACAGAGTGAGACCCTGTCTCAAAAAAAAAAAAAAAAAAAAAAAAAAGTAAGTCCTACTGCTGCTGGGCTCACCCAAACTCCCATTTTACAGATTAGAAAGCGGAGGCCCAGAGAGCAGGGGCGTCTTGCCCAATGTCACATGAGAAGTTGGTGGTAGCACTTGGGGTCTTTACTTCTGCTCAAAGACTCTCTCTGCTTTGCCAGACACCACACAGTTGGGAGCTCACAGAGGACAGGCAGGTTACCACAGGGGGTCATCCAGGTTCTCCGAGGAGGGGCCAGGGAGACAAGGGAATTTGCAATGATCTGCCAGGGTAAGCCCAGTGGTGCCAGACCCTCAGGGGAAAACTTAGACTTTTAAAAAAATGGGAGATTTGCCAATTAAAAAACACTGATTCATAGCTTGCAGAGAGTAGAGTTTGAGACTTTTGTGTTTTGCCTCACAAGGGAAGCTCCGGTGCGGCCACACAAATCCAGATTCTCCCTCTGTCCCCCTTGCCCTGAAGCCAGAAGAGGGCTGCAGTGCAGAGCTGGTGCCCAGAAACTCATGCCAGTTGGCCGTAGTGCCCTGGAGCAGGCTTGCAGCCCTCTGACTCTGTGGCTTCTGCTTTCTGTTGTCAGTCCCGATTGAGATGCCCCATCTCCAGCGACTGCAATTCCTCGCCTTTCCTGAGCCCTGCTATTTCCCAGGCTGGAGGCAGAAGTGACATGTTAGTGGCAGGGTGTGCTGGTCCCTGCAGGGTGCCCTGACCTTCCCTCTGGGCTTGGCATGATCCTGCAGCGTCCTCCAGAGAGGGAGAGAGGGAACGAGAGGAGACCAGAGTGGGAGAGACAGAAAAAGACAGATAGAGACAGCCACAGAGACAGAGAGAGAGAGAGAGAGAGAGAGAGAGAAAGAGAGAGAGAGAACAAGAAGAGAGAGATAAGGAGGCAGACGTAGAGGGAGAGAAGGGAAGGGAGGCAAGGGAGCAGAGGAAGAGAGAGGAGGAGAGAAAGAAAGACGGAGGATCAGATCAATATACAGAAAGAGAGGGAGGATCAGAGAGAGAGAGAGAGACAGGAAATGGGGCTGCCTAGAGAGATAGAGAGAGACACAGAGAGACAGAGAACAAGACTGACAGGCAGAGAGAGCCAGAGACAGAGTGACAGAGAGAAGGAAAGAGACCAAGAGGAGAGAAGGTGAGAGGCCAAGGGAGGAGAGAAGGCAGGGAGCGCACAGCTTCAGGTGTGGGCAGTGCCCTTGAGGGGTGGGATGCGGGAGGGGGTGGGGGGCATGTCTCTATGGTTCTCAGGCCCTGAGGGGTGAGAATCAGCGCCCTCCCAGACGATTTGCTCTTTGCTGTGTTGCCCGGGCCAGGCCCACCTGCATCTGAAGCCCAGGTGAAGCCAGATCGACCCTTGTGCTGGGTCCACGATGCAGACTTCCAGGATTCACCTGTTCTAGACCACACTTTGAAAGGCAGAAGCGGGGCTTATGCTGGGATCCAGGGAGGCGCTGCAGATGGGAGACGCCACCTGCCCATCAAAGGAGTTTACATTTATTTGGGAACAGGTGAGACACAATTTTTCAAATTCTTAAAATTAAAAAAAATGTTATTGGTTTTTAGGGTAACAGAACAGGAGGGGATCAAGTGAAAAATAAAATTCTCCTCCCCTACAATACCCTCAAGTACAGTCTAAGGGATGGGATTTAAAATACTGGGGGTTCCCCTATCCTTCCCTTCCCTTGGTGGGATGAGATTGGGGCTACTGGTTGGCATCACGCCATGGTGGCATCTCTTAGGAACATGAGAAATGCCAGGTCCTTCATGACACAGCTTTTCACAAGTACCCATGTGTGTAAGTACACACACACACACACACACACACACACACACAATTTATGCTGCAGGTACAGCCGCTGGTGTATCCCTGGTGTATCAGGCACTGATGTGCTGCTCATAACTATGGCCTTTGGGACCCTTCACTGTCTTGTTCTCAGCAACTCAGGTGGGGGCATTTCAGGCACAAGAGAAGGATAAACAAAACTTGGCCAACAGGGGAGATGTCTGAGGGGAAAGATGAACAGATAGGCCAGGCTCATTCCTTTGTTTATTCAATGATTGAGTCCTTCTTCTAGCATTTACAGTGGTGTTTATCTTGTATGCATTTAATTGACAGTCATGTAATGATTCACGCTCAAGATGTTTTTAATAAAAAATACTGTGCAAGTATAGTTGAATATGCACTCTTTCTTGCATACTACACATTATATATCCATGATACATTTATACATGCATATTACTGTAAAGAGTTGTATACACAATACTATGATACTATGTATACTGACTTGCTGAGCAACTTAAAGTCCCAAGGATAATTTTTCTTTTTTTGGGGGAGATGGAGTCTCACTCTGTCGCCCAGGCTGGAGTGCAGTGGCACAATCTCAGCTCACTGCAACCTCCACCTCCCGAGTTCAAGCAATTCTCCTGCCTCAGCCTCTCGAGTAGCTAGGACTACAGGCATGTGCCATATCACCCGGCTAATTTTTGTATTTTTAGTAAAGACAGGGTTTCGCCATGTTGGCCACCAGGCTGGTCTCAAACTCCTGTCTTCAAGTGATCTGCCAGCCTCGGCCTCCCAAAGTGCTGAAATTACTGGCGTGAGCCACTGTGCCCAGCCACAGGGTAACTAACCCAGTTCTATTAATAGCACTAGCCCCACCCTCTGGGGGAGGGTTCTGGGTGGTTTAAGTCATTCACAGAGGTCCCAGTCCTCACACCAGTGAGTGGTTGAGGCATCGAAGTGTGCTGTGCCATTGGCACAGTCAGCTACTGCAGCCTAACAAACTACTTCAAAACTTAAAATAACAGCATTTCTTTTGCTCAACACAACTGTAATTGGGGCAGGAATCAGTGAGGACGACTTGTCTCTGCCATGTGGTGTCAGGTGGGCCAAGATGACTGGGACTGAAGGGCCCATTTCCAAGAGGGCTCACTCACATGGCTGGCAAGTTGTGCCAGCTGTAGACTGGTCACCCAGCCTAGGCTGAGGGCCAGGGGACCCCTGCTTGGCTGGGTTCCAAAAGTGAGTGTCCCAAGAGACAAGAAGTAGAAGCTGATGGTTTTTTATGGTCTGAGCCCTAAGAAACTGGCAGTGTCACTTTTGTCCTAGTTTATTGGTCAAGCAGGAACTTGACCCACCTAGCTCAGATTCAAGGGAGGGTATAGACCTCACGTCTCAAAGGGAGGGGTATAATTTAAGGGCGACGTTGTTAAAACTGTCATAGCCAAGAGAACATGGGAAGTCTATTAGGGGGATTTCTGGGAAAGGTTTCTTTGCTCTCAAAAAGAGACATAAGCATAGCTGAATAACAATTGAGAGTCCAACATAAGAAATGAGACAATCTCAAGAAAAACAAGAAGATCATACACTTGACCCTTCATTATTATGTTTCTAATTTCATAAAATTCAGTGAAAGGAGAAGACCATTATAGTATCTTCTACAATTGTTACATTTGGGATAATAATAAAGCATACCTAAATTACATATAATTGTGTGACTTATACTTTAAAAATCCTGTAGGATTTCAATATTTGATGGAAAAACTCAATATTGTCAAGATGTCAATCCTTCCCAAATTAAAGCATATATTCAATGTAATCCCACTGAGACTGGAATTTACAAGCAGACTCACTCATCTGGAAGAGTTCATCTGGAAAAGTCAACATGAAAAATTAACCGGGAAAAATTTGAGAGAAGAGATGTTCTTACAGGATGCAAAAGCACTTAAAAAGGGTTGTATGGTAGCACCGGTAACAAAAAATTGGAAACAACTTGAATGTCAACAGGGAAATAGATAAATAAATTAGAGTGGGGGCTGGCGTGGTGGTACACACCTGTCCTGTAATCCCAACACTTTGGGAGGCTGAGGCAGGAGGATCTCTTGAGGCCAGGAGTTTGAGACCAGCCTGGGCAGTATAGTGAGACCCTGTCTCTATTTAAAAAAAAATAAGCTGAGTGTGGTGGTGTGCACCTGTAGTCCAGCTACTTGGGCTGAGGTGGGAGGATCTTTTGTGCCCAGGCATTTGAAGTTGTAGTGAGCTATGATCACACCACTGCACTCCAGCCTAGGCAACAGAGCTCTCGCTCTGTCTCAAAAAATATAAATAAATAAGTTAATTAGAGCAGTAGATCTCAAACTTGAGCATACATCAGGATCACCCAGAGGCCCGCTAAAATGCAGATGGTCAGGCCCATTCTCAGTGCTTCTGAGTCAACAGGTTGGGAGGCATTCATTCAAGTGTTTGTAGCAAGTAAGTTCCCAGATGATGGTGATGCTGATGGTCCAGACCACACTTGAGAGCCACTGAATTAGAGAATGTTGTAAAACTGATAGAAACACAAGGGGGGTAAGCT
This sequence comes from Homo sapiens, assembly GCF_000001405.40. Taxonomy (NCBI): domain Eukaryota; kingdom Metazoa; phylum Chordata; class Mammalia; order Primates; family Hominidae; genus Homo; species Homo sapiens. The sequence goes on from NC_000015.10 coordinate 89,454,320, forward strand.
GCAAAATAACATCATTTTTCAAAAAAAAAAAAAAGACTCTAGAACTAAAATGAAACCAACATATATATATATATACACATATATATATACATACACACATATAGATATATAATTTCACTTAAAAATATGTCTGAAAAGAAGAAAGTACATGAAAGGAAGAGATGGTTATTCCTCTTCCCCTGAGCACTGCTAGGTCTGCATGTGATGCCCAGAGCTGCTTGCCACCTTTATATTGACCTCAGGTTGAAGCCAATGGCAAGAGGTGTGGAGCCGTAAGACTCACAGGAAAGCAAAACTGAATGGACTTATGAGCCTGGAATGTCCCTGGGGAGATTCTCATATGAATTCGTAAATCCTCTTATGATTTAAGCCATTTTATTGGGGTTTTCCCAATAATAATGGTCAAAACCATCTAACTCATGCAGTAATGATTATGCAGGATTGTTTGTAAAGATCAAATAAGGTCATATAAGTGAATGCTCTTTGGGGACCTTGACATATAGTAAGGTTCTCACATCCATTCACCATTTACTATACTTATTCTGGAAAAACTTTCTGAGCTGGGCCATCTGGGGACGTTATGTGGAAGTTGGCAGATGCTCTGACCTCCAGGAGCTCGGGGAACACAATGGGAGCCAGGACAAGCAAAAAGAGGAATTTAATGGCTCGTGTACCTGGGATATCTAGGGCTGGGCTGGCCTCAGGTGTGGCAGTCCCTGCTACTCAGATTATGGCAACCAGCCTTTTTCAGTGTGTCTCAGGGCTCCTCTTTGTGAGCCAGTTTTATTCTTTCCTGCTGTGTAGCGTTTCCTCCATGCTGTAGGAGAAGAACATGAATTTCACAACCATAAACTTACTTCATACCATCTGAGCAAGCGGAGAGGAAAGACAAGGCTCCTTTTTCTCTGCCTTTGTTTACAAAATCCCAGGGAAGAAGGCTGATTGGCCTAGCTTTGTCAAGTGCCCTTATCTGTGCCAATCACCGTGGTCAGAGGGATGGGATACCATGCTTGGCCAAACAAATGTGTGATATGTGGTTGTTTACATACATCATTTATGATAGCTAGATATAGATATCTGCAGAACAATATTATCACAAATTCAGAGGCAGGCGATGCATATATGTATTCTCTCAGCTTCTGTGGGTCAAGAATCTTGGAATGGCTGAGCTGGGCCCTCTGCAAGCCTGCAATCAAAGTATGGGTCAGGACTGGGTCCTCATCTGGAAGCTTGACTGAGGAAGGATCTGCTTCCAAGCTCATGCAGCTCTTGGCACAATTCAGTTCCTTGCATTTACAGGACTGAAGGCTCATTTTCTTGCTGGCTGTCAGCTGCCCTCAGTTTTACAGGCCACTCTCAGTTGGGCCTCAAATGGCCACCTGCTTCATCAAAGCCAGCAAGAGTGTGAAACACTCCAGCAAGACAGGTGCTACAATCTTATCTATTTAGTTACGTAACCATGTACACAGAATCACCTGCATCCCATGCCTTTGCTGTATTCTATTGATTAGGAGCAAGTTCCAGGTCCTGCCAAACAAAAAGGAGAAAAGGTTACACAAGGGCAAGAATACCAGAAAGTGGGGGTCATCTATTTTTTTATACCTACATATTCATAGTTAGCATTTGTTGCCCATCTGCTATGTGCTAATTATCCCCTTTAATGCTTACAACTCACTCTGAGATAGATGTTGTCTTCCACATTTTACAGATAAGGAAACCAAGGCTCAAAGAAGTGAGGTGATCTGCCAAAGATCACACATGTAATTATTAGCAAAGATGGATTTCATTCTAAGTCTATCTAACTGCAACACATCTCCTCTTTTCCTTATATCAAGATGCTAATGAGGCCAGGTGCAGTGGCTCATGCCTGTAATCCCAGCACTTTGGGAGGCCGAGGCGGGGGGATCATTTGAGGCCAGTAGTTTGAGACCAGCCTGGCCAACACAGTGAACTCCGTCTCTACTAAAAATACAAAAATTAGCTGGGCGTGGTGGTACACACCTGTAGTCCCAGCTACTAGGGAGGCTGAGGCAGGAGAATCGCTTGAACCCAGGAGGTGGAGGTTGCAGTGAGCCTAGATCATGCCACTGCACTCCAGCCTGGATGACAGAGTGAGACTCCATCTCAAAAAAAAAAAAAATGCTAATGAATAAACCCTCTTGGATGTTGTTTTGTTTAGTGAAGCCAGCTATCTCTGGGCTTGGAACAACTGCATGTCTTTCCTCACTTTGGTGTCCCTGTAGCTGAGACTCTGGGCCCTTCCCCAGTCACACATGTGCCATTGAGCCCAAGTAAATAGCTATCAGTTATGTCCTTCCCCTACGCCTGTATTTTTCTTTCTTTTGCTCCCATTTGGGTAGTCCACTCTGTACTCACTGCCATCCTGTTGGGATGGGGCTGTCCAGGAAACACAGGTATGTTACCACCTTCCTGGCTTCTGCTTCTCAATGCCTAAGCTCCTAGAAAAATTCAGATTTGTGAGCAAAGACACAATATCTTGGAGCAGCAAAGGAAGGAGGGGATTCTTCTTTCTCCAACACCCTTGGAATAGAGAAAAATTCTCCCAGGCTGGGGAGGGAAGAAAGGGGTGATCTAATGATTGGGTGTTATTACCTTAATTTACAAACTGAGATTCACAAATCCTCACAACTTTAAGGTGTGTTTCCAACCCACATCCCCTTCTCTGAGCCCTTCCTATCCCTCCTACAATGGGTTGTATATTTGTCAGGATATCAGTCTGGTTGCTGCATGAAAAGACCCACAAGAATAGGGCTTAAACACAAGTTTACTTCTCTTACATAAAAATCTGGGTGGATGGCCTAGTGCTGGAATGGTGGCCCCATAATTATCAGGGACCCAGACTCTTTCTGTCTTGTTGCTCTGCCTTTGTTAACATGCAACTTCAATTTCATCTTCATGTCAAGGGGCAGGAAGAGAAAAGGGCTTCCTTCCTGGAGCCTGACTTAGGAAGTTGTGTACTCCACTTCCACTCATTGGCCACAGTTTGATCATGTGACCACATGCTAGCTGCAAAGGAGTTTGGGAAATGTAGTTTTATACTGAGAGGTGACATGCCCCTTTATTCTACAAATAGTTATGAAGGGTAGAATAGAGAGAGTGGGACAATTAGCAATCTCTACCAGTGGTCCTATGTGGTCCAGCCCTGTGTCCTTAGCTCTGTTTCCTTGTTGAGGAGAGTTTCAGGCATAAAAGCTTTTAATATGGTGGCTTTGCATCTGTTGGTGCCTTCAGGAAACAAGAAAAGAGTGGACAGGGGCCAAAAGCCATGTCCAAGTGTATCAGCAAGCAAGGAAAGGAGGGTCAGCATGGGGGTCCTGCTAGGTGTTCTGCACCCAAAGCAAGTTCCAGGGGTGAAAGCCTTGTCCACTCTTACTGCCTGCCATCCTGATTGGTTGTGCTGTGCCCAGACCCCTCACTCTGGTTATCCCCTTCCCCAACTCGAAGAACAACTTTCCAACTTTTTTTTGGTGTGTAAGGTGGCAGGGGGTTTCTAGGCTGAGGAAAAAATTCTGTAGGTAGGATCTGGGTCTTCTACTCTTATAGCCCATGCTCAAATAAGGGAAGAATGCAGCAGGTTGTAGGTTTAGGTCCTGTAAGTCCTGCATCAGAATTAATGCCCAAGCCCCTCAGTATGTCCATTGTCTTAATTCACACGCCTGCCACCCACATTCACAGCCTGCACGTCGCTGACCTGGGTCAGTCCCAGAAAAGCCTCATAAGTGTTCATAGATGGCATCTTTGCTTGCTAACCTCTACCTCATTCTCCCAGTGTAGCCAAAGTGAATGCATGCATTCATTCTTTCACTCATTCATGCAACAAATAATGATCAATCCTGCAATGTGCCCAGCTCATCCCTTGGCAGATGGGGTCTCTGCCCTTGTGGAACTGGGGAGACTGGCCGTTAGCTAATGGCACAGAGAAGTACACCATCACGGGTGCCTGTAATCCCAGCTACTCAGGAGGCTAAGGCAAGGAGAATCTCTTGAATCCAGGAGGCAGAGGTTGCAGTGAGCTGAGATCACACCACTGCACTCCAACCTGGGTGGCACAGTGAGATTTTGTCTCAAAAAAAATAAAACACACACACACACACACACACACACACACACACACACAAACAAAAAGAAGTGTAGCAACACAAACTTGATTACTGCTATGGAGAAAAAGTACAGGGTACAAAAAAGGCACATGTAGCAATGGAAAAAAATGGAATGGGATAGGGTATGTAAAACATTCTAGGCATCAGGCACAGCCTGTGCAAAGGTCCTGAGGCAAAACCGAGTGTGACTAATTCCTAGAATTAAATGAAGCCTTGAGGTTGGTATCCCCAACAGCGAGGGGGGAGTGGAGAATGCTGTTCCCGATCCTGTCACCCCTACTGCTTAAAACTCTTCAATGACTCATTCCCATTAGCTTTAGTATAGGATCCACATTTGCCCTTGTTTAGGTCCCTGCCTTCCCCTCCGGCCTCATGCCTCACCACTCCTGACCTGGATGTTCTGTTGCCTCCCAGGCACTGGACCCTCCATCCCCAATCCTTTGCCTGAGTAACTCCTACCAGTCTTTCAGGACTCAGCTTAGACATCATAGTCTCTAGAAAGCTGGACTGGATATTCTCCTGTTTGCCCCTTCAAATCTAACTGCTCTCTGTAGGTTTTGCCAGGAGGGAGGGAAGTGAGGTCAGGGGCCTGTTCTGCAAGTTAGCTGTGTGGCTGTGGGTAAGTTACTCAACTTCTCTGTACTTCAGTTTCTTCATGAGGTAAAATGGAGATAATAACTGCACTGACCTCATAGGATTATTGTGAAGATTAAATGAATTAATAATATATGTAAAGTGCCTAGAGCTGTGCCTGGCACATAGAAGTGCCTTGTGTTTGCTGTTATTGGTCTTTAGTCTTCTCCTGTCCTGGACTGGGTACTATGTCATTGGTTTCAGTCTTGCCTCTCCTCACAGGACTGGGGAACTTTAGGGTCAGAGTGCCTGCGCCTCCCTGCACTCCTGCCTCCTAGTACTTTGCCCAGTGGAAGTCATATGGTAACTGCCTAACCAGTTGTATTTGCTCTAAGAAGAATGAATTTCTGGCCATCATCCCATATGGAAGTAAACATGAACTCTGGCCTTTTCTCCCAGCTGGGGGATAAGGGGTTCTGATCTCTGAGATCTCTCTCCACACCCTGACTCCCAATACCACCCTGCACCCCAGCCTCCTGCCAGCTGGCAGCAGGGCAGATCCCAATGGCCCTGAAATGGAACAGTGAGGGGCACTGGTGGTGAGGGTAGGGTGGGTGGTGAGAACAGTGGCCTTGTGAACACCTGTGGACAGGGGGCTCTTCACATTCACAGGGAAACTGACAACCCAGGTGGGTCCAGAGGGAAGTGGCCAGGGTGGACAAGGCCTTCAAATCTGAGAAACAGAGTTGTTGGGGTTGCCACCCCCAGGGAAGAGAGGAGGAGTCTTTACATGCTGAAGGGGGACCTGGGGAGGAGAGAAGACCCTTTCTGAGTAGCCCAGGAGGCAGGGAAATGCATGCACTGCAGGTTCTGTGTCTGGACTGATAACCATTGTTCCTAATGACCTTTGTTCCTGAGCAATGTGTCCAAGGCTTGACACTGCTGTGTGCCACAGCCCCATGCTGACAGTGACCACAGCACACACCCCAATGAGCTAGTGCTAACCGTCCCCTGACAGTGCCCTCCCTTGGTTATCTTAGTCTTCTGCATCCTTAATGCATCATACAGAACTGGGGTGGGGGGACAGCCAGTTCCTGTTTGCTGGTTGAAGGAAGGAATGAACGGGGGCATCATGTGGTGGGGGCAGGGCAGAAGAGACAGAGGGATCAGATAGAGCTGGGTTCAAAACTCTGCTCCTCATCTCCTAGCTCTGTGGCGTTGGGCAAGTCACTCAGCTTCTCTGAGCCTCAGTAGTCTTGTCTGTGAAATGGGATACCCAGTACCTACTTTTCTGTGTTGCTGTCAGTTTTGGTGATCTACTGTGTAAACAAAGGGTGGCACAGTGATTGGTGCCTCTGCCTAAAGGCTCAAGAAACAAAGTAAGAACTTCTTTCCAAATCTCTGCTTGTCCCTGAATCTGTGTGTAGTGAGACTCACCCTTTCAGGACCCCGTCTTTCTGGCACCTCTGAGTCCTCTGCTGCTCCCAAACTTCCAGCCTCAGCCTGTCCCATAAGGGAACAGACACAGGGGACAGAGAGCTGCCCACCTTCACCTTGAGGGAGCCTGGAGGTCACCTCTTTTGTCCAGCCCTCCCTCTGGGGGTCCTTGCCTCCCTACCCCATCCTTCATCTCAGCCAGCCCAAAGGGACATCCCAGAGAACAACACAAGCTGGACGGTGCTGGAATTGGTGGGAAAAAAGCCCCACGCCGGTGAGGAATGAGTTCCTGAGGCCTGGGCGCCCCACACCCCCTGGGCCCGCCTGCTCCCTGCAGAAGGATCCCTGGTACCTTCTATTTTCCCAGCCAGGAGGCCGGCCAGTTCCCACATTACCACATGAATGGGGCACAAGCCCCCCTGTCCACTCGAGCAAACAATTTGGCTAGCAAATTGACATAATTACAAGAGACAGCGAGGGAAGAAAAACGCCCCCCACCCCCTTGGCCCCCCAGCGGATGACTCCCGCCGAGTTCCTCGGGGCTTTGTGGGCCGGGCGCTCAGGGCTGATTAGAAACCTTGTGGCCTTTTCAAGAGCCCTAAGTGATTGGTCCCTTAATCTGATTACAATTTGCAGAGCCCCTCCAACCACCTCTGAAGGGCTGTTCTCAAGCGCCCCGCTAGACGATGTGCGAGTACACACACACACACACACACACACACACACACACACACACACACACTTAGCACCCACTTGGGCCTGCTGGGCGGGGGCTCTGCCATTTTCATTCTCATGCCTCACTCCCTCAGTCAGGCACCTCAGGCCCCGTTCCCTGTGCCCCAAACCTCAGACACACAAAGGGCCTGACACTGCCCCTAATACATGGGGTTGCCCATCTTTAGAGGGTCCCACACAGATACAACGCCCAGGCCAGGGACATATGTGCACACACACCCCTGTGAGTGCACCTTCTCATCTCCCATCCCTTCTCAGGGTGGCCGCCCCGAGCATCCAGGGTGAGGCTGCCTGACCCCATCAAGGGCAGCCTCTCTCCCCAGCAGCGGTATTTCTGGGGCTCCTTGGGCCACAGCTCCCACGGGATTAGGCCCAGCAGGCTGCCTGGACACTGTTCAGGCACAGGCTGCCCAGGGACAGGACTTGGGCTGCTCCCCCCTTGGGAACTCAGCTCACAGGGACTTCAGTCAATGGCCTCAGCCCTCCACATCCAATTTGTATCTCTTAATCCCTGGGGCTGAGCCACAATGCCTCCTTTTCCTGTACTTGCTGGGGCTCTCATAGGCCCCAGCCTGGCCTCCCACCCTAAACAGAGCTCCCACTGGGCAGCAGCTCAGGATAGGAGTGGGGTGGGGGACAAAGCAGGGGCCAAGGCAGGAGGGGACAGAAGTGGGGTCTCTGCCCTTGTTAACTGTTCCACCCTAGAAGATGCAAGTTGGGCATGTGTATGAGGATAGGGAACATGTGTAGGGCCTTCCAGAGTGACCCCCCAGCCTGCTGTAACCCCATCTGTTGTGCACCTCAGGCTGGAGGCCCTGGGAGGGGTATTGTCTACTTAGGAACCCCATCCTTTTGTCAGGTCATCCTAAATGCCTGGAGCCTGGAGCCAGAGAGCAGGAAACACGGAGTCCAGGTTCAGACACTGGAATCAGAAGGATCTGTGACCTTGACTGAGTGACTTATCCCATCTGGGCCTCAGTTTTCCCACGTGTAAGATGGGAATGCTGCAGCCTCTCTCTCTCTCAGGGTTGCTGGGAGGCTAAATGAGCTGAGGCACATAAGACCCTCAGCATGGTGCCCAGCGCAGTCAGTGCTCCCTGCCAGGCTGTGTCAATGTTCACAAGTCAAGAACAAAGAGGGGACTTGAACTACAACCATCAAACACACCGATGGGGCAGTCTGTGTGTGCACCCCCTGTATCCCTGTGGAGAGAAACTCAGGCTCTGCAGGGCTCTCTAAGGACCTTCACTTTACCAGGAGGAGCTTCTCAGTTGCCCACGTTTGTCAGATCTACCTGATCATGTGACCCAGTGCTGGTTTTGGAAAGAGGGGCCTCAACCCAGATCTCTCCCAGGGAGGTGAGGCAGGAGAATAGGGTCCGAAAGCAGGGAACCTAAGGCCGATGCATGCTGACTGGCTATCAGAGGCTACTGACTTTTCAACCCCTCCTTTGTCTGTGTGGCAATTGAAAAATGAAAGTACCTCTGATTGGTCCCCTCCCACAGCCAATCAGACTGGTCGTGGGCCTACTCTTCCCCTCCAGCAACCAATCAGACTGGTTGTAGGCCACTACTTCATTTGCGTAGAGTGAACCAATGGGAAACCTCTAGAGGGTATTTAAACCCCAGAAACTCGTGTAACCCATGCTCTTGAACCACTTGCTCCAGGCATCTCCCACCCTGTGGAGTGTACTTTCGTTTAAGTTAAATCTCTGCTTTTGCTGCCTTGTTTTGTCCAATTCTTTGTTCAAAAAGCCAAGAACCTGGGCAACTACGCTTAACTGGTAACATATGTTGGGGAACCAGCCAGGAGGTAAGCCCAAAGTTTAGGATTTATTTTTCTCTTTTTCCTCTTTCTCTCTTCCTTTCCAACTCAGGACCCTCAGGAGATAGCGCCTATGCACAGAGGCAACTGCAGGTTTGTGGCCAGGGCTACTCTCTGGTGAAAACAAAAGGTTTCTATGTGGAAGCGCCTACCCCCAACTGCCCGGCTTGGGTGAGGGACCAAGTCCTTTTCTTTTTCAGTCTTTCAGCGGCCGTTTCCTAGCAGCTCCTTAGTAATTGAGGGCAACTGGCCAGGACCACTCTCTGGTGTTACCTGAAGGCCAAGGAGTGACCGGTGATAGCTGCCTGCCTGGAAGGGGGAAGGGCTCTTTTCCGTCTTGTCCAGTTATCATCCCTGAACCCTCCATGTGATGCAGTTGGCAGTGGCAGCCCATCCAGGGTGAACTCATGTTTCAGGCGAGTTAAACCTTGTTTCCTTATGCTAAATTCTTCCCTTCCCCTACTCAACTGGCTAAGGACAAGTCAGAGGGTTTGCGCAGATGGTTTGTGTGTGTCATGCGGGGGGATTCATAAAAGGGAATTTATGTACAATTTAATCTTGCCTAAATTTAGAAAGTTAAATAATTGTTTTAAGTGGGATAGGAAAAAATCCAAAGGTTTGACTGAAAATTAATTTCTAGAAATCAAGGCCTTCATCCAGGGACAAGAGGGAAAGTTCATAGTGGGCCATCAGTGGTGGAGGAAACCATTCCATAGTGGTGTCAGATCTAAGGTCAGAGACGTCCGACAGACTAAGATGGGGCCCTAAAGAGGGATGTCCCCCAGGACCCCAGTCAGGGCCCAGAATTTTTCCAGGGGGATGACCCGTGTAAAATTTGGGTCACCTAATGGGCCCTCCACTTTCCAAAGTCCTCTTCTCTTTTCCAGACCACTATAGGCAACTCTCCATCGATTCCACCTGATTCCTCTATGGGCCACTCTCCATCTATTTCACCTGGTACCCTGCTTGGCTACATCCTCCACCATTGAAATCAACTTTACCCTGACAATCTAAAGAGAAAATGTATGATTCTTTTTTTCTGCAATACTGTTTTACCTCATTATGAGCTGCTCAGCCCGGAACAGCGGGTGGTCAATGGTGGCCTTAATTATGACACCATCCTGCAATTAGACCTATTTTGTAAAAGGCAGGGCACATGGTCAGAAATCCCATATGTACAGGCCTTCATGGCACTATACTGAAACCCAATAATCCCCTCAAAGGAAAGTCCAAAGGCAGAACTAGATATAGACAACCCCTTTTTACAAGGGCCACCTATCTCTCAGGGTGACAGAAACCACCCCCATATAGCCCCTTGCCAAGTGCTCCTGAGGCTAAAACCACAACACTGGGGACCCTACTAAGTCCCCCTCACACTTGGAGAAGAACACCATATTCAACTCTCCCGCCAGCCCTGCTATCCCTTAGGGAAGTAGCAGGAGCTGAGGGGCCAGTCCTAGTGCAGGCCCCCTTCTCTGTAACTGATATACAACAATGTAAGGAAAAGCAAGGAAGCTATTCCGAGAATCCCAGGAAATTCGCAGATGGGTTCCAAACTTTGACCTTAGCCTTTGATCTCTCATGGAGAGATGTTCAATTCATTCTAGCAACTTGTTGCACCCCTTTGGAAAAGGAACGAATCTTTGAGGCTGCCCGCCAGGAAGCAGACAACTTATTTGCCCAAAACCCTCAGGGCAATCACCTGGGCCCAGACACAGTCCCCACTACTGACCCTAATTGGGACTATAACACACCTGTGGGAATGAACAACTGGGCTAAATTTCTTGAGGCTCTCCTTGGAGGAATGAAAAAGGGAATAACTAAGGCAGTAAATTATGATAAAGTGAGGTTACACAGAGCAAGGAGGAAAATCCAGCCACATTTTATGGCAGACTGAAGGAAGCCTTTAAAAAATATACTAATCTGGACCCTTCCTCTCCTGAAAGCAAAATATCAGTGGCACATTTCATTCACCAATCCACCCCAAACATTAGACATAAGCTCCAAAAGCTACAGATGGGGCCCCAAACTAATCATAATCAGCTTCTTGATACCACCTTTATGGTGTATAACCATCGTGATCTGGTGGAAGGAAAAAGGGAACAGAGTAAAAAAAAATAGCAAGCCAAAAGTATGGCAGCCATCATTGGCAATGCCCTGAATGCCCAAAAAGCATCCAAGGGAAACCCAAAGGGCCATAAGGATGATGCCAGAAAGGGCTCTTGCTTCAAGTGCAAGAAAACTGGGAAATGGGCAAAGGACTGTACTACTCCCCCTCCAGGCCCCTGCTGAAAATGTGAGGGCACCAGTTATGACCCCTGGCACTGGAGGATTGATTACCTTTGCTCCCACCAAGGAGCTTCATCAGGCAAAACTCTAGCTGTGCACAAGGAGGAATCAGATGAAGACTGAAGGGGCCCCAGGTCTTCCTCACTGCCCCTGTCCAGGAATATCGTAATTACTACTGAGAAGCCCCCGGTAACTCTGTATGTCATGGGCACCCAAATTCATTTTCTTTTTGATACAAGGGCAGATTACTCTGTTCTTACTGCTTATACAGGAAAACTTTCTTCCCGGTCCATGAGTGTTATGGGAATGGAAAGAAAGCCATAAAAAAGATTGTTTACTCCTCCTTTGATTTGTCAATTTGAGAAACAAATCTTCCAACAGGAATTTCTAGTAGTACCAAGATGCCCAGTCCCCCCGTTGGGAAGAGATACTATGGTTAAAATAGGGGCACTACTACAATTTAAGCATCACCTGGTGAAATTGCTAATAGTAGAAAATACAATGTCCCAGACCACATTAATGAACAGGTTAACTCACTAGTATGGTATGCTGGGAAACTAGGGAAGGCCAAAACAGCAGTGCCAGTCAAAATATGGCTTAAAGACCCCAGCTATTTTCCCAATTGAAAACAATACGCAATTAAGCTGCAAGCAAGAAAAGGCCTAGCACCCATAGTTGAGGTATTACTTACCCATGGGCTCTTAAAACCTTGCAATTCTCCCTGCAACACCCCCATCTTAACCGTTCTAAAGCTTTTGGGGAAATACAGGGTAGTATAGGTTCTCAGAATAATTAATGAGGCTGTTATCTCTCTCCACCCATTGATGATGGATCTATATACCCTACTGGCTCAGGTACCAGGGGATGCAAAATGGTTCTCAGTCCTACACCTAAAAGATGCTTTCTTCTTCATTCCTCTGGTTCCAGAGTCCCAATACCCTTTTGCCTTTGAATGGGAAAATCCTAATACCAGAGAAAAACACTTGGGCAGTGCTCCCCTAAGGCTTTTGGGATAGCCCCCACTTCTTTGCCCAACCCTTAGAGAGGGATCTGAGGGGTCTGCAATTGGAGGATGGGAGTATACTCCAGTATGTGGATCACCTTCTTGTGTATAGCCCAACCCAAGAGGCTTCTGACCAAAATACTATAAAAACCTTACATTTCCCGGCTGACAGGTCATACAAAGTGTCCAAAAAGAAGGCTCAGATTACTCTCCAACAGGTCCACTGTTTAGGGTACATCTTAACACCTGGAACCTGCAAGTATCCCCAGAACGAGTGCAAGCCATATGTGGTTTGGGCCCCTCCACCCCAAGCAGCAGCTTCATTCTTTTTGGGGAATGGCCAGGTTTTGTGGAATATGAGTACCAAATTTAGGGCTCATAGCAAAGCCCCTGTATGAAGCAACAAGGAGGCCTGAAAATGAGCTAATGGAATGGACCCTGGAAATGAGAGAAGCCTGTGCCAAGCTAAAATAGGCCCTTACCCAGGCTCCAGCTCTTGGGATCCCAGACCTAACTAAGCCCTTCCCTTGTATGTAGCAGAGACGAATGGCATAGCTGTGGGAGTGCTAGTCCAGAAATTAGGATCAGAACCCAGACCAAACACCTACTTTTCAAAGAAGTTGGAGAGAGTGGCCTTGGGATGGCCAAGTTGCCTGTGGGTAACAGCAGCCATTGCTATGTTAGTGGAGGAAGCCACTAAAATCACCCTGAGCCAATCACTGGAAGTTCTAACCCCCCATCAGGTAAAGTCAGTCTTAGAGATAAAAGGACACATCTGGGTGATGGGGGAAAGGTTAACCAAATACCAGGCCGTGCTCCTAGACAATCCAGATGTAACCCTTAAAACCTGTAACACTTTGAATCCAGCTTCATTGATACCCATAGGCCCAATGACAGATCATTCCTGCGAGCCAGTCATTGCACATGCATATGTTAGCTGGCCTAATTTAAAAGATCAGCCTCTCCCAGATTCTGAGGACTTGTTCACAGATGGCAGTTCTGTGTCAAATGGGGAACACTGAGCTGTGTATGCAATAGTCAATCACAACACCCTTATCGAAGCCCAGCCACTGCCCCTTGGCACATCAGCACAAAAGGCTGAAATCATTGCTCTTACCCGAGCATTAATTTTGGGACAAAATAAAAAGCTTAACATCTATACAGATTCTAAATATGGCATTCCTTGTGGTTCACGCTTATGCTGCAATCTAGAAAGAAAGGGGACTACTAGCTAGCAAACCCTCCCCCATAAAGCATGGGCCTGAAATTCTTCAGCTATTGTAAACAATACACCTGCCACAGGCCATAGCTATAATCCATTGTAGGGGGCATCAAAGGGACTTAACTCCTATAGCACAAGGGAACAGAAAGGTTGATAGAGAAGCCAAAGCCACATCCCTCAGGGTGCAATCCCAACAGATCCTAGCACTGATTCCTTTCTATGATTCCCAGTGGATCCCAAATACACACTACAGGAAGAACAGTTAATAAAGGAGCAAGTGGGGCAAAAAAAAAAAAAAAAAAAAAAAGATCCTGGTGGTATATGAGATCAAAAATACATCTGCCTCAAACAGCCCAATGGAGAATTATAAAAACCCTGGATGACTCCTTCCATATGGGGAGAGATGCCACCCTGGCCATGGTTAACAGGCTCTTCATTGGGCCTAACTTAACTTCGGTGGTTAAGCAGGCCTGTCAAGCCTGCTCACTGTGTGCACTTAACCCAGGAAACAAAATGCCTCCTCTAATAGAACCAGACCAGAGGAGAGGAACTTACCCAGGGGAAGACTGGTAATTAGACTTCACCCATATGCCAGCTTGCAGAGGATACAAGTTTTTGTGAGTGCTAATAGATATCTTTACTGGTTGGGTCAAAGCTTACCCTACCAGAACAGAGAAGGCTAATGAGGCTATAAAGTTTCCCTTAAAAGAAATAATCCCCCGGTCTGGGTTACCTCAGAGCCTCCAAAGTGATAATGGCTCATCTTTTATCTCCCAAATAACTCAAGGGGTTGCTAAGGCTCTTGGAATCAAATACTATTTACATTCAGCATGGAGGCCTCAATCCTCCAGGAAAGTAGAAATGGCTAACCAAACTCTAAAATGAGTGTTAGCTAAACTATGTCAGGAAACATCAAAAACTTGGGTCAGCTTACTGCCTATAGCCCTCTTAAGGATCCGTAATACCCCTAGAGCAAAAATTAATATAACCCCCTATGAAATGTTATATGGAAGGCCATTCTTAACTAGTGATTTAATTACTGATCCAGAAACAGCCAGTTTAGCAAGATACCTAGTTAACTTAAGACAATTTCAGCAGGCTTTACAAAAGTTTGGAACTCAAAGGCCCCACCATACCGGGAACTAACCAGCAACCCAAAATCAGGCTAAGGGATAAGGTACTTGTTAAAACATAGAAGGAGGGATCACCTGCTCAACAATTGCAACCCCAATGGAAGGGACCGTTTTTAGTGGTACTGGCTATGCCTTCTATGGTCAAGGTACTAGGATTAGATAGTTGGATACATCTTTCAAGGATCAAGTCTGTGATACCTGAAGCCAGGGACCAGGAGCCTGAAGTTTCCATCAGACAGTCAAAAGACAAGTAAATGCCTACCAACTTTCCTTGGTGTTTTTGTTGCATAGTTACTGTAGGCTGGATAATAGCAGCCATGTTCTCAGATTTCTTGCAGTTTAGGTGCTTTCTTTCAAACGATTGGAATCACTTCCTTTGTAGTGACTAAGCAGACTGTTGTAATTCATTCCTATAACAAACATTCCTGACAGCATAGGTATCCACCCCCTGAAGTTCCCATTAAATCTTTTAACCAAATTCATTTCCTCTCACCTAGAGACCATCAAGTTTCAGATGATCCTGTGACAAGGTTTCCAGCCTGTTCCAAATGAAGGCAGCACCCCTGGCCATCAAGAAACTACCCAGTCTCCACTCGATAGATAAAGGCAGGAGTTCGGGGATCCCCAATAGGTAGGGACTGCACCTCAAGTCAGGGTGACGCAGTTACAGAAGAAAGACCATCAGTCACTCTGTCTCCCATAAAGATTTCTGGGGATCATGTCTCTCGGGGGAAATGAGGCAGGAGAATAGGGTCTGGAGGCAGGGAACCTAAGTTCGATGCATGCTGACTGGATATCAGAGGCTACTCCCTTTCAACCCCTCCTTTTTCTGCATGGCAGTTGCTGCCTGGCAGTTGGAAATGAAAGTACCTCGGATTGGTTCCCTCCCGCAACCAATCAGACTGGTTGCGGGCCACTACTTTATGTGCATAGAGTGAACAGATGGGAAACCCCTGGAGGGTATTTAAACCCCAGAAAATCCTGTAGCCCAGGCTCTTGAGCCTCTTGCTCGAGCCCGCTCCCACCCTGTGGAGTGTACTTTCGTTTAAAATAAATCTCTGCTTTTGCTGCCTTGCTTTGTGCATTTGGTCTAATTCTTTGTTCAAAATGCCAAGAACTTGGACAACTATCCTCAACTGGTAACAGACGCGGTGGGCATAGGCTCTTAGTGTAGCCTGCACATTGCACAGGAGGGAGTTGGAAGCCAGCGCTGGCCCCCTCCCCTCCCTGTGCAGCCCCCAGGACCCAGGTCATGTGATCAGGAGGAGGGGTGAGCCCCAGAGCCCTAAAAGCCTGGCTCTGGGTTGGGCCCAATACTGTTGGCCTGGTGGTGCCTGGGATTGGGGTGGGAGGGGTGGGAGGTGGGCTTCAGGAACCACCCCCCCAGCACCCCTTCGCACCCCGCCCCCCACGCCACCCTGCACCCTCTCACGCTGCGGGCCCCTCCCAGGCCCTTCATAGGCATATGGGGCTGGGCCAAGCGGCTCTGCTGGGGGAGGGAGGCTGGGGCTCAGATCAGCTGAAATCAAAGCCACAGCTCCCTCCCCGCCACGCCGCACCCCTGCCGAGCGCCGCGCACCTTCTCCTTTGTCACAATGTTTTTCAATCCGGTGAAGCAAACTGTCCAATTAGAGCCAGGGTCTCCGGCTTCCATCTTTGCCGACGTTTAATTAACATGCTCCTCTTGGCAGCTGCTGACAAGTTCCAGAAACAGGTTGTAAAGGGTTTTTGTCTTTACCCAGCATGGAAAATGAGGGGTGTTACATCGCGGGTACATGAATAGGTTGCATTTCAGATCCCTCCTTCCCCTCCCCCCTGCACTGGTAAGAGGCATGCAGCGGTGTGTGTGTGTGTGTGTGTGTGTGTGTGTGTGTGTGTGTGTGTGTGTGTGTGTGAATTGCAAGGGGGCGGGGAGGGCGGAGTTGGAAGCTGAGAGACCTCCTCCCTTTTCCCTCACCCCTTCTTCCCAGGAGCCTTTGCTCCACAAAAGATCCGGATTCCAAGTCTTATTCTCCAACTGGCACACTTCTGCCTCACATCTCTTCTAGCCAGTAGCAGACTTCACCGTGTTAATTCCTACCCATGGGTCTGTGCCCATGCTGTTTCTTTGCCATCCTTCTGGTAAACTCCTATTCAGCCTCCAGAACCCTGCTCAGGTGGCCCTGCTTTGAGAAGCCAACTGGGTACAGACTTCCTGTCCAGCCACACCTGTCAGAGTTCAGCATGGATTCTGAGGGTCAGGTCTGTCTCCCAGCTAGACTGTGAGCCCCTGAGGGCAGGAAGGTGTATTACTCTGCCCAGGGTGGTGGTGAGCCTGGGAGATCTACCCTCCTGAAACCTTACCCCACTGTCCAGGGAAAAGAAGGCTGGCTTGGCAGAGAGAAAGAAGGGAAGGGATGGGGAGGAGGAGATGGGCCCAAAGGAGCCCTCCCTCCCTTCTCGCAGTCCTGCTGGAGTGCCCAGAGCAGGACCACATGGAGGGCACAACAGAGATGCCAGCTTTCTCAAGGGCTGAGTTTCTGGAGTAGCTGATGGAGGGGCCTTGAAGCAAGACCCCAGCCCAGAGCTGAGCCCTGCTGGGTGCCCCAGGCTGAAGGCAGGCTCTAGTACCCAAGTTCTGCCTGTTCAGCCTGCAATGACTTTCCTCGCAGTGTGGGTGGTACCCTTGGATGAAGGTAAGGGCTGGGGCAGAAGCAGGTCTCTTGGGTCCTTTTCTCCCTCAAACTGGCCCCATTGGAGCATTCACACCATTTTACAAAGGACAACAAGAATGTTTATTCCTGGAGGCTGCCACGCACACAACACAGAGAGGTCTGGGGGACCCAGGGAGCATAGGAGATGCTGGCCGAGGTGCAGGCACGGGGTAGAAGAGCCTCATAGGTGGTGACTGGCAGCTAAGTTGTCTCCTGGGAGAGCTCAGGTTCA